>NC_000004.12:115436532-115588047 GCF_000001405.40 Homo sapiens | reverse complement strand
TTTGTTACATAGGTATATGTGTGCCATGGTGGTTGGCTGTACCTGTCAACCTGTCACCTAGGTTTTAAGCCCCACATGCATTAGCTATTTGTCCTAATGTTCTCCCTCCTCTCACCCCCCTACCCCCCAACTTGCCCTGCTGTGTGTTGTTCCCTTCCCTTCCTTGTGTCCATGTGTTCTCATTGTTCAAATCCCACTTAGGAGTAAGGACATGTGGTGTTTGGTTTTCTGTTCTTGTGTTAGTTTGCTGAGAATAATGGCTTCCAGCTTCATCCATCTTCCTGCGAAGGACATGATTTTACTCCTTTTTATGGCTGCTTAGTATTCCATGGTGTATATGTACCACATTTTCTTTATCTAGCCTATCATCGATGGACATTTGAGACTAGTTCCATGTCTTTGCTATTGTAAATAGTGCTGCAACAAACACATGTGTGCATGTGTCTTGATAGTAGAATGATTTATATTCCTTTGGGTACATACCCAGTAATGACATTGCTGGGTCAAATGGTATTTCTGGTTCTAGAACCTTGAGGAATCACCATACTGTCTTCCACAATGGTTGAACTAATTTACATTCCCATCAACAACGTAAAAGCATATCTATTTCTCCACAGCCTCGCCAGCATCTATTGTTTCTTGACTTTTTAATAATCGCCATTCTGACTGGCATGAGATGGTATCTTGTTATGGTTTTAATATGCATTTCTCTAACGATCATTGAGGTTGAGCTTTTTTTCATATGTTTGTTGGCCACAAAAATGTCTTCTTTTGAGAAGTGTCTGTTCATATCCTTTGCCCACTTTTTGGTGGGGTCATTTGTTTTTTTCTTGTAAATTTGCTTAAGTTTCTTGTAGATTCTGGATTCGAGTACACCAACAATAGACAGACAGCCAAATCATGAACTCCCATTCGCAATTGCTACAAGGAGGATAAAATACCTAAGAATCCGTCTAACAAGGGATGTGAGGGACCTTGTCAAGGAGAACTATAACCCCTGCTCAAGGAAATAAGAGAGGATACAAGCAAATGGAAAAACATTCCATACTCACGGATAGAAAAATGGAAAAACATTCCATCCTCACAGATAGAAAGAATCAATAACATGAAAATGCTGTACTGCCCAAATTTATTTATACATTCAATCCTATTCTTCATGTTCTTCACATATTCTTCATTGACATTGACATACTTCACAGAATTAGAAAGAACTACTTTAAATTTCATATGGAACCAAAAAAGAGCCTCTATAGCCAAAACAATCCTAAGCAAAAAGAACAAAGCTGGAGGCATCATGCTACCTAACTTCAAACTATACTACAAAGCTACAGTAACCAAAGCAGCATGGTACTGGTACCAAGACAGACATATAGACCAATAAAATAGAACAGAGACCTCAGAAATAATACCACACATCTACAAACATCTGACCTTCTGCAAACCAGACAAAAAAAATCAATGGGGAAAGGATTCCCTATTTAATAAATGGTGCTGGGAAAATGGGCTAGGCATATGAAGAAAACTGAAACTGGACCCATTCCTTACACCTTATACAAAAATTAACTCAAGATGGATTAAATACTTAAATGTAAAAGCCCAAGCCATAAAAACCCTAGAAGAAAACCTAGGCAATACAATTCAGGACACAGGCATGGGCAAAGACTTAATGACAAAAAACACCAAAAACAATTGCAACAAAAGCTGAAATTGACAAATGGGATCTTATTAAACTAAGGAGCTTCTGCACAGCAAAAGAAACTATCATCAGAGTGAACAGGCAACCTACAGAATGGAAGAATATTTTTGCAATCTACACATCTGACA
Organism: Homo sapiens; assembly: GCF_000001405.40. Taxonomy (NCBI): domain Eukaryota; kingdom Metazoa; phylum Chordata; class Mammalia; order Primates; family Hominidae; genus Homo; species Homo sapiens. The sequence continues at coordinate 115,586,223 of NC_000004.12, read as the reverse complement.
AAGATCTAATATCCAGAATCTACAAAGGAACTTAAATAAATTTTTAACCATAGCCGGTCCTCTGTGCCAAAGTCCTGAGACCCTGAAGTGTGTAATGATGACATCTGCTTTGTAGCAGCCCAGAGTCCCCTGAACATTCTCAGTTTATAGAAATAGTTACCTTCACATTGCTAGAGAATACTGTTCCCCATATTATTGCTTCATGACGGTGATTGTTACAGAGGCCTCTGCCTTGAGAGGCAAAACATTTTCAGAATCTGCTCCCAATTTTCCTCCTGTTAGCAGACCAATGATTAAAGTCTTACATATCTTCACTGGAGAGATTAGGACCTAATCATGGAAAAAAGTATTATACCTCCAAAAGCTATAGAAAATATTAATACCAGCAATAATACAATGTATAAGACTAGATTCTGAGGGTATAAATCCAAAAGAACAAGAAAACAGGATTCAATAAATGACAGTTTATTAATATGGAAATAAGATATGGTTATTTCGTAGGATTTGACACTTCGGTAATAACTCAAAAACATTGTTAACACATCCCTAGGTTGTGTCTTAGAAGCTTTGTGAAAAGCGAAAGTTCATATTAAGTGAATAAAATGACCAGAATAGCTGTGGCACATTGTAGAGGGAGAGAACAAAGCCTTTGAGAGTGAGCATACTATGAAGTATAACTATTACTGGAGACTCATTATAGAATAATAGTGTCACTAGAGAGTCTGACAAACACTCTATTTTACAAGGCTGTAAGAAATGTTCTAGAATCCTATTGCTAAGCATATATTCCAAAGAAAATAAATTATTCTACAAAAAGACACATGTACCCATATGTCCATCACAGTACTATTCATCACAGGAAAGACATGAAACCAACCTAGATGCCCATCAATGATTGAATGGATGAAGAAAACACAGTACATATACACCATAGAATGGTCCACTATGTAGCCATAAAAAAGAATAAAACCATGTCTTTTGCAGAAACATGAATACAGCTAGAGGCCATTAAGCAAATTAAGGCAGGAACAAAAAACTAAATGTCACATGTTCTCACATATAAGTGAGAGTTAAACATTGAGCACAGATAAACACAAAGATGAGAACAATAGATACTGAGGACTACTAGAAGAAAGAGGGAGAAAGGTTGGCAAGGGTTGAGTAACTATTAGGTACTAAGTATGCTCAGTACCTGCATGACAGGACCAAACGTACCCCAAACCAGCATCACAAAATATACCTAGGTGACAAACCTTTATATCTATCCCCAAATCTATAAAAAGTTGAACTTATAAAAATAAACAATTAAAATGAGAATAATAATTTTAAAAATGTGCCAGAGTTCTTTGAAATTTCAGTGATGGCTGTCATCTCTGTCATCTGAAAGCCAGAAGGGACAATTGAAGATACTATTATGTAACTAGCCACTTTGTGAACAATCCAGACAAAAAGACCCCTAAGTAATTAGATCTAGGTATGAATTCTTAAGCACCAGAGGTCAGTTGGTGAAAGTTATTGTAAAGAAGAGAAATATCAGAATGGTGGTTAGAAGTCCTGGACTCAGAAAGCTATGGTTAAAATAACAGAATAGTGCTCCTAAAGGCAGCCTCCATAACCATCCAGCAATAATGCTAGCCAATTTACACAACCAAAAATAATTGAAGATGAATAAACAGAAGGCTAGTGGTAGATTTATGCAGTTTCTAGATCTAAGCTAGTAATTATACCCAGAACACATTGACTACCCAGGACCCATCAACTAACACAGAGCCCAAGCTTCAGGAATCAGAAATATTTGGTAAGGATAAACCTGCCCTTCCCCCAAGAGAATTATGATCATTTATTTATGTAACTTACATGAGGAAAAGGGAAATTCACAGATATTTCAGGTTCCAAGAGAATATTGACACTTAAATAAAAACCTGACACATCATTATAACCACACTTAGAGTCAGGGCATATGTGGGCCAAGGAATAAATGAGTTTCTGTCAGTTCATGAGTCCACCAGAATAAAGAACCACTCTGTAGTTCTTTTCCCAAACCATGGATGTATAATTGGAATGAACTTGCCTTGCAGTTGGCAAAACCACCAGTGTCAGCTCCTGGAACTACCTTCAACCCTCCAGATAAGACAGTAAATTGCAAACAATATCACAACTGGGTATGATGAGAAAGACAAATTCCACTCTAAAAGATCTGCATATGTAGGGTGCTAGTTCCATTCTATTACCATTTAATTTATCGGTCTGTTCTTTAGAAAATCTGAAAGGATCATGCAGAATGTTGTTAGAGGATCTAAAACCAAAGCAAGTAGTAGCAGAACCAAATTCTGATTATTTTTTACATATCATATTTTTGTTAATGCAAGGTTATACTGCCAAAGTTCCATAGTATGTGTGATGGTTAATACTGAGTGTCAACTTGATTGAATTGAAGGATGCCAAGTTTTGTTCGTGGGTGTGTCCGTGAGGGTGTTACCAAAGGAGATTATCATTTGAGTCAGTGGAATGGGAAAGGCAGACCCATCCTTAATCCTGGTGGGCACAATCTAATCAGCTGCCTTTGCAACCAGAATAAAAAGCAGGCAGAAGAGTACGAAAAGACCAGACTGGCTTAGCCTCCCACCCTACATTTTCTTTTATGCTGGATGCTTCCTGCCCTTGAACATCAGACTCCAAGTTTTTCAGCTTTGGGACTTGGGCTGGCTTCCTTGCTCTTCAGCTTGCAGATGCCTATTGTGGGACCTTATGATCATGTGAGTTAATACTCCATAATAAACTCCCCTTTACATATACATCTATCCTATTAGTTCTGTCCCTCTAGAGAACTCTGAGTAATACAGTATGTTGCTGTGATCTTTTATTTGTATATTGGTCTGTTATTATTTTACTAAAAGTCATCCTTTTTAACTGTATTTTTAACTCAATAATAAAATCTAACATATTCTGTCTATGGGGGATGGGGAGCAGAGTCTTGCTCTGTGGCCCAGGCTGGAGTGCACTGGTGCAATCACAGCTCACCACAGAATTAACCTTACTAATTTTTCCACACAAGAAAATGTCTGCTTTTTATTCAAAATTTTATTTATTTTATGTAATATGCTTTCTTCATTATTTATTAGAAATGTTTGGTAATAATTATGACTGCAGTGAATGAAAAATTCTATTCCATTACATATTATAACTCTTGGTACTTATAACAAGAAATATACTATCTTGGGATCTTCTGTTTACCTTACTGAAATTTGTTTTTGATCCAATAATCATGCTTACATTAATTATTTGATGTCCTTAAACAATCAAGTCAATTGATTTGCTTATAACTTTGCAAAATAATTATGTTTTCTGTCACTTCTGTCCAATTGTATAAATTTTGTTTATGTAATTTCAATTAGTTAGAATTTCCAATATGATATAGAGTTGCAATTATGATGATAGACATCCTTGATTTTTGTTCCCTTTAATAAAATATTCTAATATTTCATCATTATATTTTTTCAAGTAAATATCATCTATCAAATTACAGCAAATTTGTTTCCATATTTCCTACATTAGTAAGTATGAGTTAAATTTTACCAAAACATATTTCCTTTAGTAACGTATAAGTATATATATATAATATATGTATGTATGTATGTGTATATATATATACTTTTTTTTTTTTTTGAGGTGGCGTCTTGCTCTGTCACCAGGCTGGAGTGCAGTGGTGCACTCTTGGCTCACCGCAACCTCTGCCTCCCAGGTTCAAGCAATTCTTTTGCCTCAGCCTCCCAAGTAGCTGGTACTAAAGGAGCGCACCACCATGCCCAGCTAATCTTTTTGTATTTTTAGTAGAGACAGGGTTTCACCATGTTGGCCAGGATGATCTTGATCTCCTGACCTTGTGATCCACCCACCACAGCCTCCCAAAGTGCTGGGATTACAGGCATGAGCCACCGTGCCTGGCCTAAATATATTTTTTCAAAATGTAAGCAGACCATGGTTGATTTAAAAATTGCCATTTTTTTATTATGGCAGTACTTTTAATATTTATTCATTTAATGTACTGATAAATTTGGTTGCTATTATTATATTTAGAAGGTTTGTATCTGCTTTCGTGAATATGATTAGTCTATTGTACTTCAATTGTTAACATATATTTACTTACTTCTATCTTTAAATAAATCCAATATGAAACTCTCTTGTCTTTCCTCTGCTTTACAAAAATTATACAGTTTAGTAAATACCTATTTTAGAAAGATTGGGTGAAACGTGAACCTAAATACTTTGGATCTGTTGATTTTTTAGGCAAAGATATTTAGACTATCCTCTCAGTTTCTGTGATCTTTTATTTGTATATTGGTCTGCTATTATTTTACTAAAAGTCATCCTTTTTCACTGTATTTTTAACTCAATAATAAAATCTAACATATTCTGTCTATGGGAGATGGGGAGCAGAGTCTTGCTCTGTGGTCCAGGCTGGAGCGCACTGGCGCAATCACAGCTCACCACAGCCTCAACCTCCCAGGCTCAAGTGATCCCGCCTGCTCATACTTCTGAGTAGCTGGGACTACACTTGGATGCCACCATGTCTGAATAATTTTTTCATTTTTTTGTGGAGATGGGGGTCTCATGATGTTGCCCAGGCTGGTTTTGAATGGCTGGGCTCAAGTGATCCTCCTCCCTTAGCCTCCCTAAGCGCTGGTGTTACAAATGTGAGAAACTGCACCCAGCCATTTTTTAAATTTGAGTTTGTTTGTTTGTTTGTTTGTTGTTGCTGTTGTTTAAGTAGGTACGCTGTTTTAGTGTGTTCATACTGCTTTAACAAAATATCTTAGACTGGGTAATTCACAAAGAACAGAAATGTATTTCCTACAGTTTTGAAGCTGGGAAGTTCAAGATCAAGTTGCCAGCGAATTCAGTGTCTGGTGAAGGCTTCTCTCTCTGCTTTGAAGATGGTGCCATGAAACTACATCCTCAGGAGAAAAGTCAGGTCACTTCAACCTCTTTTGTAAGGGCACTAATCTCATTCATGAGGACTGCTCTCATGACTTAGGCACCCTTTAAAGGCTCCACTTCTTGTGACTATCATATTGGTCATTAAGTTTCAACATATGAATTTGAGGAGGACACAATAAACCATTGCATATGCATGGATATAAAAAGGCATATGCATAACAATGAACATTTCCATTTCTTTTGTGTCTTTATGTCAGTATCTATAACTACTCTGTATGGACTACAGTTAGTCAATTCATTCATTGTATACAAAGGTCTCTGAAGTGAACAAAACTTCACACATTCCCTTTTTTTATTATCTTGAATCATATCCATCTATGAGTCCAAAATGTTAATCAGACAATATTATATATTAATCTAGATGAAAAGTTGAATATTACCACAAATTATACCATTTTAGATAAAATAAAGGTAATATTATTATATTTAATAATATATTAATACAATATTAATATAATACATTGATATATTAATATTTATAATGTAATTATTTGTTATAATTTTATTATAAAATGTAATTCATTTATTTCACTTTTTCTTATAAAATTATTATTTTTTAAGTTCAAATGTAAAAAATCTAAATATCATAGTAGTCAATGTCTTACCTTCATTTTAACCAGGAGATATTTATTTGAGATAGCTTTGGTTTGAATTTTATGGTAGGAGCATTATTAGCAGTTGCAAGGGCTGGTTTTCATCTATCCATGCCTCTATTCTTAGGTAAATGGCTCATATCTATCTCTCTGTGTCTGTAGGCATAATGTAGGCATATATTTGTGTATATATATATATATATATATATATATATATATATGTGTGCATGTATGTATGCATGTATTCAGTACTTCAAAATTAAATTAAATATGTACATATTTAATTATATTTAAATAATTAAATGTTATTTCATTAAAATTTGATTATTTTAATTATTTTATGAATAATGTAAAAACAAATTAAATATATACATATTTAATTTACTTTTGGCAGTACTGAAATACATATACACACACAAAAATCTTTATTTTTAAAATTAAATTAATCCAATTCCAAAGTGTGTATACACACATACACATATATACATGTATATGCATATATATATATTTCTTCTCTTAACTATTGAGAGATGAGTATTAAAATCAGCTATTATTAATTTTATATTGTGTATTTTCCTTTATATCTAACAGTTTTTTCACTAATTAAAAGAAAGAAAACAAGGAAAATTTAAAAAGGAAGAGAATACTTGAATAATAACATCCAGTAGCCCAAAACAATTGACAAATATAGAATATTTCACACAATAACTACAAAATGCCTATTATTTTCAATCATAAAGAAATTCTCCAGGAAAAAACATATTCTAGGCCATAAAATACATCTCAAAAACAATTAAAATCAAATAAAATATGTTCTCTGATGACAAAAAAATTGTATTAAGTTAGAGTTCATGGCAGAAAGAATTCTGTGAGACATCCCAAATTAAAAAAAAAACAGCACATAACCCATTCATCAAAGAAAAATCCTGAGTTATTAGAAAATAGTTTTCAACAACAAAAAATAAAACTTCATATCAAAATTTATGGAATGAAGTTAAAACAGTCCTTAGAAGTAATTTTATATGACAGAAAAAGAATGGTTTCAAATCAGTAATCTAGGATTTACCTGAAGAACTAGGAAAAAAAAAAAAAGAACAAAGTAAACCTAAAGCAATCTGAAAATTTTATACATTTTCCAAAGTCTCATTGGCAAACAAGAATAATCAACTTCAATTAAAATTGTTAAGATGGAATTATTCAATTATATGGCCAATGGGGTTACTATCTGTATTAGTTTTCTATTGCTGCTGTATCAAATTGCCACAGACTTATGACTTCCAGTGACACAATTTTATCATCTTACACTTCTGTAAGTTTTAAGTCTGATATCGGCTTCATTGGGGTAGAGTTAAAATTAGTTAGCAGGGCTAAATTCCATTCTTGGAGATAGAGGGGAGAATCTATTAGCTTATCTTTTCTACTTGCTAAATGCTGACTTCATTTTTTAGTTTTAAGACCCCTTCTTCCATCTTCAAGGCCAGCAATATTGCATCTTTTTCTGACTATTCTCTATTTCATATCTGATTATCTGTTCTGCTTTTGAAAGGAATTTCTGGTTGCATGGGGCCCATCCAGGTAGTTGACAATAATCTCCCTGCTTTACAATCGGCAAATTAGCAAATTTAAAACATCTGCAATTTTCTTTTCCCTTTGTCCTGTAAGGTAACATATTTACAGATCAAGATCTTTTAGAGAGCATTATTCTGATTATTACAGTCACCAGCAAACATTACTCCCTTCCACATGGAGGAGTACATTTTCCTACTCTATTAATGTTGGATTTTGTCATGTGATTTGCTTTGGCCAATAGAATGTGGGCAACAGTAACAGATTGCCCAATCTAGATTTATCCTTGTCCCTAACAGCATTTGAACTCCATTAAAAGATCAGTTGTCTGCACCTTGAATCAGAGCAACCATAGCCAATCTAGAGACCTAAAAATGCAAATGCTTAGTTTCAAGTTAGTTTTTTTATGCAGCAAAGGCTAACTTCATATTAATTGGAGCCCCAAAGCATGATGCCCCATTTTGCCATTGCCAAGTGGGAACTATAGCAGAGGAACTATCTTGTACAACTCTGCAAGACACAGGTCATTCACAACATATTCTGCATGAGTGAGATTTCCAAAGTAGTGCACTTGGTAGGCATGAACTATTAGTAATTTTATATGTTCTGGGAAAAGCTGAATAGACAATAAAACCTAAGAGAAGTAAGCATTTCATTTCATTTAATCTTCCAGTTTGTAAATCCATCACTGCCAGCTCTTTGAGAACCACAAATCTATGGACTACTCCAGTCGTAGAACCTATCCTTATGAGTTCACTGAGACATTTGGTTCCTTTGCATCTTGCCTCTTTTCTTATCGAGTAATATTTAAAACACATACATGCACACACATATTCACACAGAAAGAAAGAAAATGGTCTTAAAGTTCTTTATTCTATGAGCTCCTTGTGTCTTTGAGTTCCAAATGCTGAATTAAGTGCATGTTTTGTTGGTGGTGATTATTTATTTGCTTATTTATATCCTGTCTGTCTCCTGAACATAGCAACACTCATTCACAACTCAACACTCTCCATTTGAGCCTATGTTTGTTTGTATTCTACCCAAAATACAATTCTTGCTATTGCTTATGCATTTTTTATCTCCAGTAGGATTCCAAGAGTTCTTTGTATCACTGTCCCAGTGGATGTTTCAGCTTTTTATGAATCCTCCTTTCTAGCCATGCATACCATCAACTGTCAAGCTGAAAAATCAGCTTTAGCAGAAAACTCAAATTTAAGTTTCTGTTGTAAATATTTCCAAAGTCTGTGCCCATATTTACATTGAAGATCAATGAACTCTATGCCTTGTGCTGTTCTCTCTTTCTTCTGTTATCAGCATTTGCATTTTCCAGGCTTCAAATAATTTATATCTGCTTCTAAGTGCTCATTCCTGTTATTCCTCTATTCCTTTTAAGCAGGTCAACTTAAATTGTTAAATTGTTAAAAGTTTTGTCTACTTTTTAAAATAAGTTTGGTATCATTTTCAACAGAGAGAACCAAAATGTTTCCTACCCTTGAGTGCCATTCCATTATCCCTTGATATTTCTTGAATTGTTAAAGGTTCTAATTCGTTCATAAATGTTAATTTGGTATCTTTTCCAACGAAGAGAATAAGTCACTTTTCTAATTTGGTATCTTTTCCAACAAAGAGAATAAGTCAGTTTTCTACATTTGAGTTTCATTATTCTTTTATATTTTCTTTGCCTTTGGCCAGACCTTTACTGTTTTATCTTATTATCCTCATATATATACATATATTTTTTGCAAATTTCCCTCTGTAAGATATCAATGCCAATGGTTCTGAGCCTGATGATTTATTTATTGTTTAAACATATCTGTTGACTCTCACTTTCTTATTTATGGTTACTTATCCAGGACATATCTTCCCAACATCTAATCAAGGTCTAGGAGGAAGTTTTTGCAGTCACATTTATGTAGCTATATCTCCGTATTTTCTTTTACAAATAAATACATTCTCATGACACAGACACTCACATACTCAAAATGCTGTTATTCTGAAGATTTCCTCAATGTATGTACCTTCCTGGCTCCAGAAACTGTGCCATTTTGTAAAATTCCAGGACTTTACCATCAAATTATTTCAAATCATATATAATAACCTACAATAGCTGTGCAAATAATAAAGGAGAGAATCCTCAATTGCTCTTACAATCAACTTACTCTCTACCAGTTTCAGAGGACAACTCTTAACTGATTTTCTTGATACAGCTTTCCTCCAGGTAAGCAATTCTAGTCTGATCACTAAGGTCTTTACATGGTTAAACAATGTTGAGTCTCAGTGGTCCCTTTGACCTAGTAATAGCCATAATATGCAGTGTTTTCTAGCCTTACCTTTAGCAACAATTATAAGTATTTTTTATATTCTTTTAACTTTTATATATCTCTAGATACTGAATTTTTAACCTTTTCTCTAAAGAAACACCCTTTTTTCCCTCCAGTGTTTTCTCTTGCTCAATCTGCGTGTGTGTGTGTGTGTGTGTGTGTGTGTGTGTATTTCTCATTTGTTTTTTATTTTGTTATTCTTATTCCCTTAACTTCTGAATGCTCTATTTGACTTGTGTTTTGAGAGGATTCTCTCTGAGTCTCAAATCAAATCTGTAACCTTTAGACAGGTTTTTCTGGCACAAATCACTATAGTGGTATTTAATAAGAGGCAATGTATTTTTCACTTACATTTTGATTCTCCTCATGTGATTTAATGAAGAGATCAAATCTGGAAATTTTCTTTGAATTAAGTTAGATTATTATGGAGTATCCTCTGATGAGCTGCACAGAATGCATAGGGAATGTGACAGGGACTGGATACTGGCCCAACAAAACTGAGAGCAAGAATTAGCTGATATGCTACTGATTGTTTTCCCCCCGGAATAGCCACCTCACCCCTTAATTCTTAAATGCTATGAGGAAAATAACAAATACTTGTGACTGAAATGAGGTTAAGTTCAAATCCTGTCTTTTTTGTTGTTATGTAGCCTATAGGAATGTGAAAAATTCAAGCTATTCTACCCACATGAGAGAATTTTAGGGAACATTTCAACTCCTCTTCCTTATTTTCTCTTCCTCAGAGGGAGAATTATGTATCTAGTTAATCAGAGGACAATATATTCATTCATTGGAACTCATGTGAATGTTGGAGTTGCTTTGATTTATAAGCCTAAACTTATGTTCAATCTTCTGCCTTTTATTTTATGCTACTATTTTACAAAGAGACAGACATAACCCTGGTTTAAGTCTTGCTTTTTGTATTAAGGAGAAAGCTCTTTCATTTTCATCCAACACACTGAAGACAGAATAAGAAAGTTTTGTTTGTGGTGTCAGATTCAACCATTTCTTGCTTATTAAGCTTCCACATAAGACTGAATAAATAATATACAGAAAATAGAATGTGTCTTCCCTTGGAGCCCAGATATCATTGATCATGAAGATCTACCATTCAGCTTAACCAAAAAAATTTTTTTTTTCTTTCAGTGCAAAGAATAAAAAGCTCTGTATATGTGTATAAGTATATATGTTTATAAAGGAGAAGGTGAAGAAAATGAAAGTTTTTCATGATTACGTCAACTTCAGAGAAATCCAGAAAAAAGGAGTGATAAAACTTAGAAGAAGACATTTCTCAATGAACACCTAGCAATGCTTCTTGAAAACTGTATTTCATTTTGGGACCAAAAGTGCTTCGGTTATTTCTTGTACATTCTCTGTATAAGTGAGTTTAATTGATTTCTGCCAGTACTTTTATACCTCTACTTCCATTCTTGAAAGTTTAACTTGGATTCACATATTAGCTGAATTGTTAAAATTTTTAAATAAGTTTATAATGAAAGAAAGATAAGAATACTTTCAAAGTTGTTATATATTTGAAATTGTTGCCTCATTCAGAAAAGCATGAGTTGGTTCAAAATTCTACAGACACTTCTTAAGTTTCTTTCTTTTTTAATTTTATGTAAGATAATTAATAAGATGAGTTACCCTGAGGGTTGTTGTTGTTGTCGTTTTGCATTTTTGGTGCCCAAATTCTTCTACCTGGGGAGTTATGAGGTTCTATTTGTTTTCAATCCTAAAACGTAATATATGCTGTGAAGATATGGTTCAATTTTTGACTGTTATTATGTTCTTCAGAGGCCTAGTATCATGTAAATGGCTATTTGTTTCAGGAATGTTTATCTTGATTAACTGTTAACACATGTTTACTGTTATAATTAGTGTTATTGTCATTAACATTGTTTCGTGGTGACCCAATTTTCTGTATATGGAGAACCATTGCATATCCCTTCAAATACCCAATAATTACCTATTTTTAAAATCTGCTTGTAATCTGGTTTAATAAAACTGTAATAAAATAATTGCACATGCAAACTTATGTATGTTTAAAACTAGTATTTAATATTGAGTATTCAGCACACTAATTAAATTGTTAATGAAACAAAATGAATATCAGTTTCAGTTATATAAAGCTAAATTTGATCAACTTCCATGTTGAGTTTCTATTCTTTTTTTGTCTCAAAGTTCTACCAAACACCATTCTTAGAAACAGACTCTTTTGGTTCATATTCAAAATCTTTTAGTCATTGTGTACCAATGAATCTGTTTTATAATTACTAGATTGTGGGATATAATAATTAAAGTACATTGGGAATGTATGGCATGTGTAACTATATACTCAGAACTTCATTTATATTTTTTGCCACTTAAATATTACATTCTGTTAATAATTTTCTATGTTAAAGAAAACACATTTTCATGACCAAGTGGTATGCATTAAGTTTATTAATAAATTATTTAGAAAAAACTGCCCCCAGTCTTCTTACCCAGGAAAGGTACTTAGTAGTGTTTCATGGATACATCGTAGTGAATCATTTTTATACTGAATCTCAAAATATTTATACCACAATTTTATATTTTCAAATGTTATATTTTTAAACTTTATGTTTTCAAAAGCTAACTCAGAAGAAAACAAAGAGAGAGAACATTCAGTAAGAAATAATAAAATTGCTAAAAGTAAATAAAAATATCTGCCGGGCATGGTGGCTCACACTTGTAATCCCAGCACTTTGGGAGGCCGAGGCGGGCAGATCACATGAGGTCGGGAGTTCAAGACGAGCCTGACCAACATGGAGAAACCCCATCTCTACTAAAAATACAAAATTAGCCAGGCATGGTGGCACATGCCTGTAATCCCAGCTACTCAGGAGACTGAGGCAGGAGAATCACTTGAACCCCAGAGGCAGAGGTTGCGGTGAGCCAACATCACACCTTGCACTCTAGCCTGGGCAACAAGAGCGAAGCTCTGTCTCAAAAATAAATAAATAAATACATACATACCTACATACATACTTACATACATAAATATTTTAAAAAATAAAAATATCTTCTGGCTAAAGAATAAAGAAAACAAAGACACTATAAATAGGATTGAAAATATAGACAACATTACTTATCTCTTATGCCTCAAACTAAATACCATTAATGGAAGATTACGAAACTAAAAATTAATGCAACATTGGAAAAGAAGAGACCAGTCTGAAGATAAAAAATTGTAGTGTATATGTGGAAAATAATACTGGATAAAAAAATAGAAAAATGTAGCAGGAGCAAATATTTAGGGAGATAGGCATTGTTTGGTAGAGCTTTGAGAACAAAGTTAGAGGACTGAAGGTTAAGGATTAAGTTCTGATTCGATGATCAATTTGATACATGAGATGCTGCTTTTAAAGCCTCTAGTTGTTCAGCTGCTGTTCTCTAATACTGTGACAGCAGAAAGCAGGAAGCAAAGTATTTTTTTTTGCTATGAATATGAGCAATGGGCTAGCAATATCAAGAAATTCCTTAAGTAGCTACTATCTACCAGGCAAGAAGGGCAGCTGACACACACTTGGTAAACCATATATAGCAGGTCTGACTGCACCAATGCAATCACTAAAGATAGGTTAGAGAAACAGATACTATGTTACAGTATATGAAGCCATAGATAAGTCTATATCCACAAATCACTAAACATTGAGGTACCAGAAACAAACAAACATCATCCTCAACAATGGAAAATTTTCACAGCCAAACAGGTAAGAGGACAAACAGATGGATACATTATCATATTCATGGTGAAGAATTAACCAAGACACTTGTAAGGAAAACTCATCTTTCTAGAGAAACGAAAAGTTGAGAATGTAAAAATATAATAATTGAATTAAAAAGTTTGTAAGATGAAATGAAAATAGGGATAATTGTTCAAATAAATAGATATATGGATGGGCATTAGTAGTGGATAATTCTTGCTTTGCTGACCATGACTTCACCCTTCCTTGTCACAATGCCCTGAAGTTTCTCTACCATTCTCAGTCTTTGTGGCTCAGATCAGTTTCTAGCCAACAATAAGCCTGAATGTCTGGAACTAAAGTGATTGACCATTCATAGATATGTGATCCCTAATTTGCCTAGTCTAGATAAATACAGAAAGGTCTGACAGATTCTTCCCATCATTTGTATGGTATCTTGTCACTTCAAAAAATGGCATGATGTGAAAATGGAGTGGAAGTCAGAATAAAAATCAGTTAAGTGTCCATTTTCAGCAGTTTCTGAAAAAAACAAAATCTACCATGAACTTTTCAATTAGGTGGACCAATAAAAGCTATTTTATCTTGATATTTCTGTCCCTTGCAACTTAGTGAATCCTTACAGCATCCAAGATAGAATTCCCTTAAGAAGTTGTGCAAGAGAGGAGTGTAGCATCAAATTTCGTGGAAACAAACAAACAAACAAACTGCATCCTGGTGTTGAACTGGCCCTGTCAGAAGCTTGTGTGCTATAATAATCTTTTGCTCCATTTCTTCTGTTGTGGTCTCATTCTCAGAAGATCTTTCCTGACATTGTGACCCCAAGAGTGTATCAAAGAGATTTATTTCCAGAGGAAAGACATCTTATTTTCCCCCTCAATAATTTTGGGATACAGCTTTAGCGTTTTGGCTTTGTGTGTATAAAAACTGTTATTTTATGAAGGGACTGTGCTGTTATGGTCATTAAAGCCAGGAGCATATACCTGATAATTGCTATACAGTTGAAATGTAATTCTAGTCAGCCTCCAGTCAAGGAGGAGTGGCTTCTCAGAAAAAACTAAACGTCATTAATAAAATAAGTAAGAGTAGAGACTAGGCAGAAGGAAAATTATAGGTACTAGAGTTAGTCTCTCTTTTTCCAGCATCCATGTACATCCTTCTTCTCCATAGATGCATTTTCAAAAATTACATCACTGATATCATTGTACCAGTTTCAACCAAATACTCATTTACCTTATACAAAAATAAGAAATAATGACTTAATTAGCTATTAAATCCCTTTATAATTTCAGAGCATCCGCATAATATAAATATCTCAATGAAAGATTTAATATGGTTTCTTCTAGTACATAAATATAGGCTATAATATGAATACACTTACTCCAATACACCCATCACAAATTAGAAGCATGAAAACAAGATAATCACAATTAGGAAAGGTTAACACTCCTATTGCAAATGAAAAAAGGAAAACCACTATTAGCAAGTTAGAAACAGGCATGAAGCCTTTAATTTTAAAATGATATTTTATTGTAAAAATTAAACAAATATCATACTTTAGCAGCATTTGATATTGATTACTTCTCAAACCTTTTTTGTTTTTAATTTATTCTGAGGATTCAATTTTTGGGGGATTTCCTTCTCCCTCACTAGCCACACTTCCTGATAACTTTTGTTCTTCATCTGCCACACCCATCTCTTACCAGTGAAGTCCCTCTAAGCGTAGTTCTTTTTCCATTTTTCCTTACTCTCTACATTTACTCCTTTGGTGCTTTGAGGATTTCCTTTTGAATCACTCAGTAGGGTCTTTAAATATTATCTATAGAAGAGCAACACTCAAATTTCTATCTCCAGCTGTGACCTGCCCCTTAAAACGCCAAGCATATATACAACTGCTTTTTCAACATCTCCACTTGTGTATGTAATATTTTTCTCAAACTTCATGTTCCCAAGTTGTTTTACCTATTTTGTCTCTCAAGGCTGTTCTTCCCGCATTCTTTCCTATCTCAATAGTAAATAATTTCTTTTAGATACTAAAACTAAATATTTGGGCTCCTTCCTTTCTTTTTTATATCATAGCCCATGCATCAACTTGACATATTGGCTCTACCTTCAAAATTTATCTCAAATATGGGTGTTTCTCACCAACCAACCACTACTACCCTGGTATAAGTTATTCTCCACCTTTGTCTACGTATAATCAGTTCTCCATAATGCAGGTAAAATGAACTTGATGGAATAATTTAGTTCACATTCCTATTCTGATCAAAATCCACCAGTAGCGTTATACATCAGTGAGAATAAATGCCTATCGTAGGGCAGAAAGCTTGTTTGTCTCACTTCCAGCTCCCTCTCTGAGCTCATCTTCTGCCACAGTTATTAAGTTACACTTCACTTCTGCCTCACAGCCTACTTGCTGTTTTTCAAAATGATCGCATAGCATTTTCTTTTGCCACTGACTTGAGCATTCTTCCCACCACATATTCTCGTTGACTCACTCGTACATTAGGTTCAGATGTCTGCTAAACTTAGATGTTACCTTATCAGAGGAGCCTTTCCTGGCTTCCCTATAAAAAAGAGAAGTTCCTATTACTGCAGTCCCAGCATTCTCTACTTCCATAACCCTGATTTATTTTGCTTGATAGCACTTGTTGTCATCTGCAATATATATATTTGTGCATAATAGTTATAACTTTGTAAAAATATACGCTCCTTTGAAGTGAGCACAACTACAAACTGAAAGACTGTTAGAAATAATAAAGAAGCTAAAAATTGTAGATGCCTCATACATTGCATTAATGGCATTAAAACTATTGTTTCTCAATCAACACCCTTTGCCATGTAACTCTGTAGTTCTTGCAACTAGTAAGGTAGAGTATATTACTCCACTTCTGTTTGGTTTTAGCCACACGAGTTGCTTTGCATAACAGAATGTTATCAGAATTTACTCAAGCAGGGGCTTGAAAAGCATTTGTAATATTGGGCATGTTCTCCCTGCATTCATTTCTGCCATATCAATGAGAAGAAACTCTCCTAAGCCAGTTGACTATGAAAGGCTGAGGATGGGAAGGAGAAGATGCATTCCTAGACAAGTCACTTCTACTTCAGCTGACTTCCAGCCAGGCTCAGATGTGTGAGTGAGACTAGATAACACCAACAGGAGTATCTGGCTGGATTCAGTCTAGGTCAACTGACCTCAAGCCAAAGTGTAGCCTCATGGTCTAAATAAATGCTTATACAGATCACTGTATGCTACTGATACTTTGTGGTTATTCATTATGCATTATTGCTGTGACTATAGGAAACTTAAATTTATAATAGTCTCAATAAACAAAAATCAATAATGTGGTTTACACAAGCAATAATTACACTAAACCATCTAACAATAGCAATGTGAACAATGAATTGTCCTCAAAATGTCCCCAAGTAGAAATATTTACTGTGTTTGCATAGAATGCCACAAGAGCTTTCAATGAACACAAAAATGAATATAAATGTGTTCATGGCTAGAAAAACTCAATGATATAAGCACTTTGTTTCTCCTCTAGTTAATATACACATTAGAAAATAAAAAAGGTATTACAATGTCAACATTATTAGTCAAGTAATTTGAAAAGCAGATTCTAAAGTGAATATTAAAGAATAAATGCCCAAAATGAGGCAAGTCAATTTGGAAAAGGATTTAAGTAAATACGTCAAGATATATTTGCACAAAATTAAGTAAGTATATCAATTGTATCAAAAGGAAAATTTGAAAATCTACTCAGGTAAGAAAAAGATGTTGTTACATGATAATGGCTGATTTTCAGATAAGTGGGGACTGAAGAAATAATGCAAATAGGGCTGAGACAATTCTTTAAAAAAATAAGTGTCATTCTTAGAGCATTCATAAAAATATGTATCATTAAAATTATCTAAACTATCACTCTAAAATGTAAGAGAATATGTTTTATAATTGTAAACAAATCTTTAAAAAAAAACATGGACATCAAGAGCACAAAGATAAAGATATATATAATTTATACTTCTTGATTAAATATTTCTGAATAGCAGAAATATCATAAGCAAATTTACAGGCAAATAACTGACCCATGATACTATATGCAATATATGTCACAAAGGAATAATATTTGAAATAAGAATTCCAAGAAATTGATATGAAAAAGTCTAATAATTCAATATAAATATTTGCAGCATATGTGAAAAGCAGTGATAGTGGAAATTTGAATCATCCATAAAGATACCAAAAATATTCTTACTCTCATCATTAATAATGGAAATACAAAACTAACCACAATTTAATAGCATTCTTTAATCATCCGATTGAGAAATATCAAGAAGTTGAATAATTTCCAGAGTTTGTAAGGATATAAAAAATAGGCATGTTTTTGTATTTTTTGTCATAATATAAACTTGTAGAGGCATTTCCTTAGAACAAGTTGGAAGTATTTAATAGAATTTAAAATATTCTTCTTATTTAAATCCAAGCTCTGGTAAGTAAAAAAAAAGAAAAAAGAAGTATTTTCTCACAATTTTAGTTTGTAACCCCATGGAGAGGATTGACTTTAACTGTCCATGATGCTTAAATTTTCCCTGTCAACTTGAGTGGACCACAGGTGCTTGGATTGAACACAATTTCTGAGTGTGTCTGTGAGGGTGTTTTGGATGATATTAGCATTTAAATGGTGAACTCAGAAAGCAGATGGTCTTCCCCAATGTACTTGGGCATTGTTCAATCCATTGAGGGCCTGAATGGAATAATAACAAATAAACAAACAAAACAGAGAAAGGAAAAATTTTCAGCCTTACTTTTGGAGCTGGGACTCTTCTCCTGCCCTCAGACTGGGATTTACACCATCAGTTCCCCTGTTTCTCTTGTCTTTAAATTCAAATTGAATTATACCATTGGCTCTCTCTCTGGAGAGCCATGACTAATACAATATCCCTCAGTGTAGGATTAGTTACTTCATGTTTCATGCTAAATATAAAATACTATCCTGGTTATGACAAGGCAAGTAACTCTAGGATTTACTTGTGTAGAAATATTTCTGAAATAGGTTTATATAAGAAAAATGTTTCAGAATAATACATGCAGAATACTGCTCTTTGTGTAAAACAGCACATAAAATAACAAGTAAAGCGAAGTGCATATGGGAACATTTAACATATGTATATTTTAATACACAAGTGCATAAATGTATAGAAAAAAGGCCAGGAGAATACAATCATATTAGTAGGTAACCTCTGAGAAGGAGGCTATTGGAGGAAAGGAAGAAGAAAAAGTCAAAATGTCACATTTTGTGCTCTACGGTAAAGGGAAAATTTGCAACTTGATTGCCAGATCTACTCAGGAAGTTTGAGTTTTGTGGAAGAAAACGAGTGAAGGCAAATAAATATACATTAATATTCTAAATTTTTGAGGTGATGTAAATTATGATTAACACAATAAATAATTAGAAATGAAGCATTTTTATATTCTATTCACAAAAGTCAGGAGATGAAACAGTAAAGAAAAATTACATAATCAGAGATGAATGCAAAAAATATTTATGTAGTTAAAAATTTTAAGGACAAAAATGTTAGAGATAAAGATATTTCATATTGACAAAATTTTTAAAAATCCATTGAAAATGAAAATGATGCTAATGACTTTCAAGTACCTAATAATACTGCTTCAAAATGTATATTAAATATAGAAAACAATTGCTAAAAAAATGAACAAATACAAAATACTATTAGGACTCTTTAACATACTGTTTTCAGTGGTTATAGAATGTTTATAGAAGACAAGCTGGTTGACTTAAGAGATGTATGCACATCCTATTAAATAATAATATACAATTTTCAAATGCAAATGTAACATTCTCTACTATTATCTTATCCTAGGCCAAAGAGTCTAACTCAACAAATTATTCAAAGTTGGTATTACCTAAGCCACACTCATTGATTCAGCACAAATTAATTGTCATGGGCCCAGTGGCACATCAAGAGGGAGTTGATTTCTTGGCTCTCTTTTGTATTAGAGGCACTTTATAAAGGTGTCTGGCTGGGCGCGGTGGCTCATGCCTGTAATCCCAGCACTTTGGGAGGCTAAGGTGGCTGGATCACGAGGTCAGGAGTTCAAGACCAGCCTGGTCAAGATGGTGAAACCTCGTCTCTACTAAAAATACAAAAAATTAGCTGGGCATGGTGGCACGCACCTGTAATCCCAGCTACTTGGGAGGCTGCAGCAGAGAATTGCTTAAATCCAGGAGGTGGAGGTTGCAGTGAGCTGAGGTCGTGCCACTGCACTTCAGCCTGGGTGACAGAGCGAGCCTGTCTCAATTTAAAAAAAAAAATGTATCCGTATCCCTGTAACAAGGAAGCTAATAGAAAAACATATCTCAGTAGTACTCATTCTAGGTCAAGTCAAGGCATTGGGGAAAGTTAGAAGATGCAACAGAGATAATGTGTATAAAAAACAAAAAAGTTTTGGATGTTTAAATATTTTTGTAATTTCCTCAGCATATAATTACGTATTCTGGGAAATACTATTTAAAAATGAAGAAATTTAAAATTTGAAGCTATTTCACAGTAAGATTTTCTCTAGGGATTTATAGAAAAAAACATACATTGTTGAAAGAAATCTTCACTGAAAAACAGGAAAGTTTAGCTTTGATGACTTACAAATAAGCAACTCTTCTGTTTCTCAATAATGTGAAAATAATGAGCTATATACTGTTTGTTCCTTTTTCAATCCGATATCAATATAATTCAAACAATAGAGAAAAAGATAAAATACTTGTTGTAGCAGAGTAAAAGGATAGATATAACATGTAAAAAAGTGCAGAAATAAAAAGGATCATTCCATCAATAAAGAAAAGATTTATCTAATCCATTAATTTTTCAATGGATTAGAAAAAATAAAACATAAGATATTGTAATATCATTTTATTATACTATAAAATCAGTTAGCATTTTATTTAATATTATTAAGAGACTAATATCAAGTTACAATAGGTGTTTAGAAGTGAAATACTCCGCCATCATAGAAGCAGAGATCTATTTTTTTCAACTACAGAGCATATTTTGTTTATATGAAATTTTTAAATAAATTATGTTCTTTAAACATTGAATCAATGATAATGTGAGACATAGAAAATCTGTAAAACTTCTTCAAAAATTACATTTAGATGCTATTTAGAGATGCAATTATCATTATTCTAGAAATTATTTTTCAGTTTTTATAGTAAGTCAAAATAAATTGTCTAAATAAACTTTCAGAAACACAGTCTTAAGTACTCTAACATTCTAAAATATACTACAAATGTTGTTTCCTGAGGTAATTCACGTACTTGAAACTGCTATTATTCCAATCTAAAAACAAGCACTCCCAAAATAAAACAAGATGACATGAAGGACTAATAATAAAAAGATTAGCAACTGATTTTTGCCAATTATAAAGCATAAAAAATACGTGACACATGATAACATTAAAGTATTTTAAAAGAAGTTATAGTTATAAACATCAAAATGGACACTTAGAAAACATATTCTCCCAAGTGCAAATATAATCATCTGAATTATGCATTCAATATGAAAGCAATTAAATATACTAATATTAATGGTTAAAATATATGAAAAAATTAAAGAAGGGTAACTGTTGAGACTTAAATACATTGATGTGTGTGTGTGTATGTATGCTTTTTTTATAGATCTTTTTAGAACATTTTTGGGCCCACAACAAAATTGAGAAAAAGTTTTAAACATATACCGTATATCTCCTGCCCCAACACATGCTTAGTATTTCCCATTGACAACATGCCACACCAGAGTGGTACATTTGTTATAACTGATGAGCCAACATTGATACATCATCAACCAAAGCTCATAGTTCATAATAGAGTTCTCTCTTGGTGTTGTGCATTCTATGGGTTTCAATGATGACATGTTTCCACCATTATAGTATCATATAGAGTAGTTTTATGCCCTAAAAATCCTCTGTGCTTCACCATTGTCTGATTTTTACCAATTAAATTCAACAGTGATCAGTAGATAGCTTAAAATACAGCCAGACTTCTTACCTTCCTGGATATATATATATATATATACACACACACACACACACATATATACACACACACATATATATCCAACTATATATAATATATATCTCCAACTATATATATATATCCGAGTATATATAGTTATGTATATTCATTATTAAATAAGAAAATAATCACAAAAATGAGTACAAATTAGACACAAAAGTCTGATAAATGAAAAACCCAAGGAACGTGAAAATTGATTATAAATATAAAAGCAGATAGAATTCTAGATTTTCATTGTGTATGTGAGTTCAAATTTCTTTTCAGCCTCAACACCTGTATGATTTGGAGTTTTGTTCATTTCTACCTTTACTCATTTTGTTGATGTGTAATGGTCTGATATAGTGGTTTTAATTTGCATTTCCCTGAAAGTTAATGAAATTGAGCAAATTTTCTAATGCTTTGGTCATTTTAACATCTTCTTTTCTGTGCCTGTGAAATATTTTGCACATTTTTTTTCTGTTGGTTTACTTGAATTATTGTTATTTACTTTGCAGGGGTAAACAAACAATTGATTAATTGTTTGTGTTACCTGTAATCAACCACAGACCAAAATATTAGATAAAAATTCCAGAAATAATCAATTAATAAATTGTAAACTGCACTCCTGTTCTGCGTATTGTGATGAAATCATGTACTATACCAATCTGTCTACTGTCTACCTCTCTATTAATCACTTAGCCTTCTTGGTTGTTGGATTGACTGTCAGAGTATCATAGTGCTTGTATTCAAGTAAACCTTATTTTACTTTCCAATATATTATTGTAACTGTTCTATTTTACTAATGAGTCACTGTCATTAATCTCTTACTGTGCTTAAGTCAAACTTTATCATAAGTATGTATGTATAGAAAAAAATAGTACATGTGAGGTTCAGTACTACTCAGTTTCAGGCATCCACCGGGGATCCTCAAACATATGCCCCACTAATAAAGAGTATTATTGCATAAATTTTTTCTCTAATATATATTGCAAAGATCTTTTCTCACTATAAATATTTTATTTTCACTCTTTAAGATTTATCTTTCCTGATTCCAAGAAATTGTCATTTTTAATATAGTCCAGATTATAATATTTTTTCTTTAATGGTTAGTACTTTTATGTCATTTAATAAATCTTTGCCTATCCCATGTAGGTTCTTATATAAAAAGCTTAATTGTTTTTCTTTCCTTTTTAGATCTACAATCTATCTGAAATTAATCTTTTTCATATAGTGTGAGTTGGAGTTCAAAATTCATTTTTTAATATGGATATCCAATTAAACTAGCACCATTTATTGAAAACCATTTATTTCTCTGTTGCATGATAGAGTCCTCTTTGTCATAAATCACATGATCATATTTGTATGAATATGTTTCTGGAATTTCTGTTGTATTCATTGGACTGACTCTTCCAATGGATTATTCATTTTAGTTATCTAAGAACTGTTGATATTTAGTACTATATGTTCACCTAATATTTTATGGGAACAATTATTAAGATGCAGCTTGATAAATGTTCTCAAAATGAACACAAATTGTAACTAGCAATATGTAAAAGAAACATTACCCAAATCTCAAAAACTCTCTCATGCATATTTCCAGTTAGGATTCCTGCCCAAAATTTCACAGTATCCTAACATCTAGAGGCACTTGAATAAAATCATACAGTATGCACTTCTCTATCTTTGACTTCTTTTATTCAACATTTTTGGTGGGTGAGATTTGTTATGCTATAGTATAAAGTGACATTCAGTTCGTTTTCACTGCTGTATTTTATTGCATCATATGTTTATGCTGGAATGTTTGCATTCATTCTACTTTAGAGGAAAATTAGTTGTTTCTTTTTAGTTTGAGGCTGTAATGAATAGGTATATTATTTTTCTTTACTTCCAGAACAAACTAACAAATTTAGTGGATTAAAAAACTAATTAGTTATCTCACAGTTCTATTAAGTCAGAAATTCAGATTGGCTTATTTGTTTCCTTTGTCCCAAGTCTCATAAGACTGAATTCAAGGTGTCAGCCAGCTGGGCAATATCTGGGGGTCCTGGGGAAGAAGCTGCCTCTAGACAAATTCAGTTTGTGGGCAGAATTCAGTTCCTTCCTTGCGGGGCTGAGTACCTGTTTCCCTGCAGGCTTTAAGCCTGAGGCTTCTCTCATCTCCTTGAGATAACCCACATTTTTGTCAGGTTGTCACTTCCAGCTTCAGACCAGCAGGAACACGTTAAGTTCTTGTTATGCTTTTAATTGCTCTTTCACTTATGCCACATTTTTTCTCCTTCAGCTGGAGAAATTTCTCTGCTTTTAAGGATTTATGTGATTAGAGTAGCACAACCAGATAATCCAAGATGATCTCTTTACTTTAAAGTCTTTAACCTTGATGATATCTGCAAGGCCCTTTTATCACAAGATAATTATCATAAGATAATTACAGCTTTTTAGAATAAAGAATGTGTATCTTGTGTGGCCAGAGTAGGGAAGTACTATCCTGCTTGTCACAACACTGCTACCCAGAGCCTTCTTGCAGATGGCTTTGTGAAGACATATAGGCATTTTAGTTAGCATATACATTGGGATATATGTTTTAGCCATAGAGTATCAAACTGAGTAGGTACTGCCAAATGGTTTTTCAAAGTTTGTGCAATCGACCATTGTATAACACTTCTGATTATTCTATTTTCTCATTAACGATAAATGCTTTCTATCTTCTCCATTTTAGCCATTTTAGTAGTATGCAGTATTTCACATTATGGTTTTACGTAGATTGTAATGATAATTAAAAGACTGATGAGCTTCTCATGGGTTTCTTATCTATTTGTATTTTTTTTTTTTTTAGTAAATTATCTGTTCAAGTCTCTTGCCAAATTTTAAATTTTAAATTTTATTCCATTAATTTAGAAGGTTTATTGATATCCTCTATATTCATATTTTGGGGGAAATACATGAGGGAAATAATTTTTCAATCAATAACTTACCTTTTCACTCCTTTTTGATATCTTTGAATAAACAACTTTTTAAATATTTTACGTGGTATATAATATCTTATTGTATTATGATTTATTACATTTTTGCTAATGAAACTTCTGATAATGTTAGTGTTCATGAAGTTATTTTCCATATTGTGTTGTAATGACTTTATTATTTTATTTTTCACAGAGACCTAAAGTGAATCTGGAATTTATATGTATATGACATGTCATATGAATCCATATTCATTTTCTCCTACATAATAACCAATTGATCCAGCAAAATCTATTGTGATGATTATCCTCACTCAAATATACTAAAGTGTCAATTTCAATTGTCAAGCACTGAGCATGTGAGGGACTGCTTCTAAACATGTTTTCTTCCTCCATTGTGCAGTGTTTCTGTTAGAGCACCCATTCCACACAGTCAAGGTTCCTACAGCTCTTTGATAAATTTTGACATCAATTATATAAACCCTCTTTAAGTTTGCCTTACTTATGGTCTATTGCCTGTCTATTGATGATTCATTTTTCTAACTCTTTGTCTTAAATGAACGTGTGTTTAAGTCAATTTGTCTTTCTCTAAACACTACTTTATCTGTCTCTTGCAAATGGAATACGTTGTGTAAAAAATTTAAAAACTGTAACAATAATAAGAAGTAAAACTGCTTTTAGTCTCAGATAACTAGAAAATGCACAGAAAATTGTAAGAAAACTGCAAAAAGGCTAACCTTAATAAATGAATTTAGTAATATCACATAATAAATATATTAAAATCTACACATTAACACAGGCAATTGGAATATAATTTTTTTAAAGATTGACATCAGCAATAGCATCCACGGTCACAATATATTTAGGGATCAATTTAAGAAAAAATATTTATTGCAAAACAAAATTCTCTGCTGAGAGCAATTAAAGAACACCTAAATAAATGAAGAGATACAGCAAATTTATAATTTGAAATAATATGTATTGTTAAAGTAACTGAACTACCCACATTGATGTATAGATTCAATGCAAGCCCAAACAAAATTCCAAACAAAATTGCCAACTGGTTCTAAAATATATATGCATTAAAATACAGAACACCTAGACTAACCAAAACCTTTTTTTTTATGGAACAACAATAAAATTGTTAAAGATTGAGTCTCTTGACTTTAAAATTTTCTAAAAGTTACAGTGTTCGTAATAGTGAAATTTGTGAAAGAATAAGCTTTTATGTTAGATGATTTTTAAAAAGAGTCCTGGTGCCATCAATGAGAAAAATAAAACCTTTACCAGTAGTACTGGAAAAAATGAATGTCTATGTAGGAAAAAAATAGGTCAATGCCTGTTTCATACTATATACAAAAATTATTCATGATAGATCAAAATAACAAAAAAATTAAAATTGTAACGACTAAAAGAACACATAGCAGGATATTTCATTGATATTTCTTACAGAGATCACAGAAAACTACTAACCATAAATAAAAGTGTGCTAAGTTGGACTTCTTTAAATTTAAAATATTCTTGTCATCAAAAAGCACTGTTAAGAAAATGAATATGCAAATCACAGACAGAGCCAGTATATTTGAAAATCACATACCTGACAATGGATATCTTCCTTCTACCTCTCTTTGTAGATCTTCTCCCTTCAAATTCCCTTTAAATTTAAATTCTTCCAAGTAAAATTTAGATCTCAAACCTTTCTGGATCTCCTCTATATTTCACCAACTAAAGCAAACTGATATTTAACCAACATTGAAATGGGCTGAAGACTCCAGCTTTTCATTGCTGAGTAAACATTTGAAATTTGAAACATTTTAAAAATTTGAAAATTTCAGTATTTTCTTCCTTCCCCTTAAAGTCTCTAAGAATAAGAGAATTTAAAAACTCTTTTCACCATTCACAAAAATTAGATTTCTAACCTTGAAAAAACAGAAGTGGACTGGGCGCAGTGGCTCACGCCTGTAATCCCAGCACTTTGGGAGGCTGAGGCAGGCAGGTCAGGAGGTCAAGAGATTGAAACCTTGCTGGCCAACATAGTGAAACCCCATCTCTACCAAAATACAAAAATTAGCTGGATGTGGTGGCACACACCTGTAGTCCCAACTCCTTGGGAGGCTGAGGCAGGAGAATCACTTGAACCCGGGAGGTGGAGGTTGCAGTGAGCTGAGATTGTGCCACTGCACTCTAGTCTGGTGACAAAGCGAGACCACATTTCAAAAAAAACAAACAACAAAAACAGAAGTGACCTGTAAGTCTTGGTTTTCAATAACATCTTTCCCATTACACATATATTTTAAATGGGTCTAGTAAACATATAAAATCTAGTGAGATACTTTAAATTAAAAATAATCTGATAGGATTTTTATCTGTCAAACTAACAAAAATGTAAATCTTGTGAATACTGTTTCAATAAGTGAGTGGTGATAAGTCTCCTCAATTATTGTTCTGAGAATAAAAATCGTTACCAAATTTCAATGTAGTGATATAAACATATGTAACATAAAATATGCCTTTTTAATAGTTTGTCCCTATAAGACCACTATGCAAATGATTAATTCTGAAAAATAGAAACTCTTTCAAAGATTTATGCAAAAAAACTTTTATATAATTACTGAAAAAAATAATTTATAATTACTGAAACTCAATAACCCAGCAATAAAAGTAAAATAATAATGGCTGGTTTTTATTGAGCATTATCTACATGGCAGGCACCCACTAAGCACTTTAACAGAATTAACTTATTGAATATTTATATAAACTATATAAGGAATTTACTTTTATTACATCCATTTTACATCCGAGAAGTGTTTAATATATGGGATTTTGGCCACATAGAGTGCTTTGTGAATCAGAAATAACTGTAAAAGTGTTTGAAAATGTTATTGTGCTAATTTGTTTTTGTTTCTCCCTCCAAGTCTATTTTCATCTCTGTGTTTGCCCAGACCTATATGGGAGGCTGACCTAAATGATCGGTCTCAATGGGCTCCCTTGTTCTTTGGAATTTTATTACTTCTGCCATTGTGAGCCCCAGCAAGAGATTGGAGGTAGGGTAGGCAGTTAGGTCAAGGTCTTATTTTTCAGGCTCCCTTCTTCTGGAGTTGCCAAGGACTGACATCTCCAAACTAGAGTCACGTCTCTTTTCAAGTTGCTTCCTCCAGGCCTTGCATGCTATCTCTAGTTCTAGAAATGGTTTCCTCCTCTTGCAGTTTCCTGCTCTTGCTGTGTCAAAGATTCTTTCATCGTCACAATATATGTTGCCCAGACCATGAGTTGCAACGCGCATATTTAAATTTCAACTTTTGGAGAGAGGGGTAGATTAGAGATGTTTATTCATTCTACAAATATTTGCAGAGTATCTACTACTTGCCCAGAATTAGTAAAGACATGAAGGATTCAGTAGTAAACTAAGTGGCGAAAGTATTTGTTCTTATGGAGATTAAATTGCAGTTAGGGGCTACATATAGAAAAAAAAAGATAAATATATGATATACCAAATAATGAAAGGAGCTGTAAAAGACGCGAAAAGCAAGGTATTGGGATAGGGACAGGGTCATGTTGCATGGGAGTGAATCAAGGAACTCCTTCTTGGTAGAAAGTATTAAGAGTATAAGGAACAATAGGAACCATAGCCTGTGCTGGTAGCCTGTTTAATATATTTGAAGAATAGCCAGGAGGTCAGTATGACTAAGTGGATGACAGAAGAATTTCTTCATAGTGCTTTAATAATTCATGTTATTTATAATTAGTATATATTATATTTCTTACATAAAATTAAAACTAAATAGTACATGTAAATTCTGGATGTTAGCAACGTGATCACTGGTCCATTTTTGCTGCTGTGTATCTTGCTGGCATGACCTAAGACCATTATTGGGGGTTTTTTTATGGCTTATGTTAGTATTCTGTTCAGAAATTGGACGACATAATTTCCTCATACTTTTATATGAATATGCAATATCAAAAGTTATTGTGTAACATCTTCTTATATATACAAGAAACACTCAGTCTCTAGACCTCATTCATATTTCAATAGATCATTTATTTGTCTACCTTTGTACTTCTTAGCATTAAAACTTTCTACTGTATTTTTGAAACCAAATTAAAAAATAGATCAATATTAATTATATTTTCTTCACAATATAAACTAACATGGCAGCTTAAAAATCAAATGAAAGTGATAGTAAACATAAAAATTGCAATTTTTAACATGAAACCAATATATCTTATGCAAGTCTGGGTTCTGAATGACAGGCACTCTAATTTTATATTTTTATTATATATCATGCACTTTGGTCAAAGCACACCAGAAAATCAAATTTTTTTAAGCAGGATGTTCCAAAATCATTAAATTGTTTGGTTATGTCAGATTACAAAATGTATTACTTACGCTATGATGTTTTATGTTTTCAACACTTCTTTATAAAAATAATAAAAGACTTTATCATATAGTAATATAATAAAATAACTTAAAATGTTGTTAAAATAATATTCCATAAAAATAAATCTGGGTTAAAATTTTGCATTTTTATTTATTTACAGAGAATACATTCTTATGCTATATTTTAAAGATTCTCTTTTCATTTACTTTGGAATTATATTTAATGAGTAATTAATATTTACAAATTACCACTTGAAACTCACTTCTGATGAAACGTTGGTTGAAATTTATACAACTGTTTACTTCACCATAAATTTTAAGAAGATTCTTAAATGTAGCATTTAGCTTTTATCCAATTTTGTAACCTAAGAACATCTTTTAAAACTTGGTCAAGACCAAATAGGGCTATTTACTCTCTCACAAACTAATTCGAGCTAGCATTTTCAGCTCTGTTTGCCATAGAGATTTGATAGCCAAAGACATATTTTTATAGCAGGTTTCAAACTAGAAAAGCATGACTGCTCTTGGTGAGATTGATGAAAAGTCATTTTCATTTAATATTATTGATTGATAAAAATAAGTATTCCTGTATAGAGGAGTGCCATATTCCATAGTCAATGATTAAATATATCAATTGCAGTAACAGTGTGGTTTTGATATATAGTTTCATTCCTGCCTAAGGCTATAAAGACATATATTTTTAGTATCTTTTTTTCAGGAGCTAAACTAGTTCATAAAGTCTAATTCATTTTAAAAATTTTTACTATGCTCCAAATGCTTTGGGAATTCCCAGGGCATATTTTTCTAGTGTATAATCTAATAAGATAACTTATTTTGGATGACAGTGTTATTCATTAGATAATTTATGCTTAAAATGATATACCATATAGCAAAAACTAAGAACTTTAAAATGACATTACAACAAACAAAAATGTTACTTTTTGAAATTAAATGAGTAAATGTGATTGAAGTGAACTTTGAAAGTTATAGGGATTCTCTAGGCCACTCAGCTTCAGTATTTAAACAGATCTCATCCTTGATACTTCGTAAGCAAAATTAGGATAGATAATTTTAATGATCCTGTTAAATAAAATCAATCATTTAAGAACTTGCAATATGCTATTCATTGAACATTTAAGAAATGTAATGTTCATTCTTGTACAAATGTACATAAATATATTAATTATATTGTAAATTTTGCCAAATGCAAATTCAAGTGTTTTAATGATACCTAATATTATTGTTGACAATCATTCTTAATGAGAATGTTTTGTAATACTCATTAGCAAAAAATAATATGAATTGATTGTCAGAAAATATAGTTGGGTTTATAAAGCCATTGATTTCCTTGTATATAATTTATTCAACACAAAATTACCATTATTTTTGGAATATTTCAATAGTTATTGGGTATTGCTATACAAATTATAAATAGATACTAGAGAAATGTAATGTGACCAATTCTTATATTAATGAAACTCATTATTGGGAAAAGATAAATATGGATTGAAGCAATTACCTAAGTACAATTGTAGAAAGTATTATTTAAGTGAGTTTATGTATACTAGTTTATAATAAAATTACTTATTATTTTATTGGGAAAAGGTAAACTTGGTGTGAAGCAATTATCTAATTACAATTGTAGAAATTATGATTTAAGTGAGGTAATGTATAGTAGTTTACAATAAAATTACTTTATTATTAAAGGACATCTTTTCTTATAAGAAAACATTAAATTTGAAGTAGAAATTAGCTAGGAGAAGATGGCATAAGGAAGAACAAGGAAATGTTGTTAAGGAACCCCCCTGAAAAAAAATATATATATATATACTAGCATTATTTGTGCACTCAATTTGTTTCAGAACCTGGGTTTATGAATAATACTCTTAACCTAGCTGTCTCTACATGTCAGTGAAGGTGAGTGAATTATAAAGTTTATTTATCATAAGAAAATGATGTTGAATAGCTATAGACAAGATTCATATTGCCTAAAGAAAAGCAAATACTTACAAAATTGTACCACTTTAAAAAACATTGGTTTACTCGATTAATGCAGCAAATATGTGTTGAGTATCGACTAGGTGCCAGATATCCAACCTTATCTCTGTCAAGCATACATTCCAAAGAGGGAAACAGTGAATAAACCACAAACAGCCTATATTAAATGGTGATATATATAATTTAAAAATAAATAGAGCAGGGTGTGGAGGATTTGCAGGCATAAGAGAGGAGATTTGTGCAATTTAGATAGGTTGATAAGTCACTGAGAGTATAACCATTGAGAACAGACTTAAAGAATATAAGGAAATAGGTCTGCATATAACTAGGGAAGGAGTACACCAGGCAGAGGGAAAATCCATTGCAAAAGCTTAAGGTGGGGACATAAGCCCGGTGGTTCATGGACTGGCAAAGAGGTCAGTGTGCCAAGAGGAAAGTGAGTGAAGACAGAGTGTAAATAAAGTCAGGGAGGTTACAGGAGTCTAGAGAGTCTAAGGAATTGGAAGACATTGTAAGGATTGCGATTATAGGCTTAATTAAACGACAACCGTTTAAGAATTTTAAGCAGCAAAACAACTTCACCTAAAATACATTTTAAAAGTATTTATCAGCTGGAATTTAGAGGTTAGACTTTGAAAGCACAAAGGTGGAGTTAGGATAACCTATTGATAAACTATTCTTGCAATGTAAGTGATAGAGGATGGCTGCTTGAACCAGGACCACAGCAGCTGAGATGGTGAGAAGTGGTCAGATTCTGAACCTACTTTGATGGTAGAGATAGGAAGATTTCTTGCTGAAATAGATGTAAGTTGTGAAAGAAAACAAAATTAAAGATAAGTTTTTGCCTTAGTAATTGGAAGAAAGGAATTGCTATAAATGACAAAGAGGAAGACTGCAAGAGTGAGGGTCATAATATTCACGTCTGGAAGAAGAGGAGAGACCAGAAGGAACCAGAAAAAGAATGTGAGTTGTAATAATCCATGAGACATGATGAAAACCAAGAGCACTTCAATTATTATTGATAACCAGATCTAGAGCATGATCATAGGAATGGTTTGCTAAGATTCTCAGAAGAGAGCATTTCAAGGACATGAGGAGCCAGGATGTTGAAGGGATCATCAATATATTATTAATTAAAATCTCTAAACATTAAAATAGGTTCACTGTTGGAGAAAATAATAAGTAACAAGAATTAAATTCACAGAGAAATTCAAGGAGTATACAAAAAGTTGATGGAACAGTAATCAGTAGTTCTGGATCATACAATATGATAGCATGTTTCAAAACTGAGAGGTTTAAAGAATGAAAGAGGAAGAATGGTTGAAAATTAGCAATAAAGAAAAAGAAAGATTCCTACCAACCCCCAGTCCCAGAGGCGTGAGGACTCTGGGAGAAAAAGAAATAATAATACATGAGAGGTCTGCTGGTAATCCAGTGTTTTCAGACAAACACAGGTTTTTGTCAGAATGAGAACGTGAAGAGACAATTCAGTGAAGCTGAGGAGGCAAGCAATTTTCTTGTTGATGGACTGTGAGTTCCACAGTGCCAAGTGAGAGTTGGAAGGAGTGAATACTTAATGATACTTATACTAACAAGTTATCTTTAGTACAAGTTTATCTGAAATTTAGATATTTAACTGGATATCTGTGTTTTATGTGGAAACCTTACGTATATGTCACAGAAATGTCTGCACATGTGCACAAAGATAAATGTACAGCAATGTTTCTAACATTATCAGTAATAACCAGAACCTGAAAATGGCCCAGTATCCATCAACAGTAGAATGGAAAAGGTAGGAGGTGATAATTTGTGACTGTGTGGAGCTTCATGAGATGTAGAATACAGTAATAAGGGATGACCTGGTAGTTCGAGGCTTTCTTGAGGTAAGTAACAAAAACAGAAAAGGTAGAATGAAAATAGTTGTAATAGATTCAAGATAGATAGTGGGTGTAAAAGTCAAGGTGTCAGTGGAGCCAAGGAGTGTGGAGAAGCTCTAATTTAGTTCCATAATGAGAGCCCCTCTGGCTTCTGTTGGCAGAAATAAACCCTAGAGGAGGTGTGTTTTATACCAGGAGTGTGAGTTCACCTTGACACATGTCAAGAGAGAAATAAGCCTATGTAAAACTGGTTTATGGGCTTTGCTTTGTAAATTTTTGATGGGTTGAGACTTCTGAAGATAAGAGTTTTACTCTAAGTCTCAGGCTTCCTCTTTATCCCTGAAGAAGGAGACAGAAGGCTTAAGAAAGCATAATCTTTAGATCTAGGGCAACGGTTAACTCTTGACCCTTGTTGAACAAAAGGTGAGTCTACTGTTAACATGCAGTTTTACCCTTTACCACTCCTAACAAGATTGAGGACATCTGGGGAATTCTTTACCAATTTTTTCTTCACACTGGTAATAGAATGATTTTTAAAACTCCCTCCCTTTATGCAACAGTAGAATATATTTAGGATATATATATGGCATATATTAGTAGAATATATAAGGGCATATATATATATAGTCTCTCAGACTGATCACATCACTAACTTACAGAAGGAAACTATGCATGGTTACCACCTGCAAACCTGTAGAAGTATTTTATTCAGTTGTCCTTTTAGCCTAAATGAATTTCTTTTAGTATTTTAGTTTATTCTCACATAAGTGGTTAAAGATTACCCAAGTTATTCTGTTTTTGTTTCAAATTCAATTAAGAGGGGACATGAGTCAGAGTGTCCCATGCCTAGCTCAACAGTCAATTATTGGTGATGACTCTGAGACAGATAAACTTTAATCAATTAAGATTACCAATCTTAAATCCCAAAATCAAGATAATCTATCTTTTGATAAACTGACATTTTAAACCATTTTTCTTCAAATACTTTCTTCTATGTAGTCTTAAAACATTGTATGATCTGATGGATCAAAACAATTGTCGTTTGAGTTTAATCTTCTTACTTCTTATTGCTATAGTCATATTGATGATATAATTTTCTTAAATCCTGAAATTATTTATCTTTACTAAATTATTTGAAAAGTCAAAATATTTAATTTTTAGTATACATTTATTCATTTAGTCAATGGTATATTCAATATGCATCATCTTCTATATACAAAGTTTCTTGAGTAAATAGGGATGGAGGGAAAAATCTGTTCTCTTGAACCTCACATTCTAATGAGATGAACCTGATGAATAAAGCAGAGCAGGGGTTAGGAAATGCAGATTTTGAAATTGCTTGGGACCCATAAATCCTTTCTTCTTTACTATTTCCCCTTTTGAAATAAGAACGTCTATCCTATGTTTGTCCCACCACTTTCTTTTGGAAGTATATAACGTGTTTGATTTCACAGGATCACAGCTGAAAAGAAATTCTGCCTCAGGATAATTGTACCTAGAGTCTCACCCATATCTATTTGAGATGACATTTAGATGTGACTTTGGATTTTAGTCCAAAGTCACTTTGTGGGCTGTTGAGATGGAACGAATGTATTTTTCATATGAGCAAGGAATGAGTTTTGGGGGACTAGGGTGTGGCATGTATTGGATGGTATATGTGTGTTCCCCCGAAATTCACCTGAGGAACCGCTAACCCCCAATAGTATGGTATTTGGAAGTAGGATGTTTGGGAAGTTGTTGGGTTTACATGAAGTGATGAGGGTAGAGTCCTCATGATGGGATTAGTGCCCTTATGAAAAGAGAAAGAAACTAGAGCTTGCTCTCTTTGTCAGATGAGGATACAAGCAGAAGACCATCTTTTGCAAACCAGAAAGAGAGCCCTGATTAGAAACTGGATCTGCCTAAGGTTTGATCTTGGACTTCCTAACCTCCTGAGCAATGAGAAATAAATGTTGTTTAAGCCACTCAGTCTTTGGTATTTGGTTATGACAGCCTGGACTGAATAAGATAAGAGAGAAAAGCAAATGCAAAATTTGCTTGATGGAGATATTTTTGGTATAAATGAGGAACGTGAAACTACTTAGAGCAAAGCAACAAAAGAAATGTAGAAAGAAATAAATTCTGAGGAGTAAGATATTTAATATCAGAGACAAGCAATATGGTGCAATTTGTAACTTGAATGGTTTTGAGCAGTAGATATGGTTATAACACCAAAGGAGAACTCTGTTTAGCTGTATTGAATGAACTACGGAAGGAAAGAGGAAAAACAAACATAAAAATAGGGTCTAAAGATGACATTAATTTGAATCAGAATGATAGCAATGGAGATAAGGGGAAGTGGTAAAAGCCAAAGAATTTTCTGATGGATCAAATAGTGTAAGAGAAAGATAAAGTCAGGAATAATTCCAGTATTCTAGAGTTGGAAAATTGAAAGGAGGAGCTTGGCAATAACTGATATGAGAGAAAATTTCAGTAGTCCAAGTTTGATGAGTAAAGACTTGGAGCTCAGTTTGGATATTTCGAAGCTTGGGTTGCTTGTTGGGCATCCAGGTGAAGGTGTTGAATATAGAGGTAGATTTATCATCTGATGTTCATGGGAAAAGCCCAAGCTGAAGACAAACAGCCTATTTTTTTGGTGGGAGGGGAGTTGTAAGATTGAAATATTCCTTAAAGCTGGTAATAATTACTCTTATTAAGGGAGCAATTATATAGATGTGAACTCAAAGGAGATGCTTTGAAGAAGCAGACATTTCTGAAGTTAAAATAGTGTTTTAACTTGAGAATTATTTTAAGAGAATTTCTTTAGAATAATTTTACACAATTTTATCATGAAAAGAGATATATGTAGAGTTTTTCTACTGTAAATAATAATGTCTATTTATAGCTAAAGTACTGTCATTGTGTTTCATGCTATAGGATTTCTTCTTAGGTAAAACTGAAAAAACCTAAAGGTCTTTTTAATGCGACTTCTTAGATAGAGTCCAACACTTACCAGCTATAAAGAGAATATTGTGATACAGTAATTTGCATTAGTGCTACAGAGTATTTATAGTGTTCTGCTTAATGTTACAAAAAGGCTAATTATAAACTATTCATATTCTATATTTGGGAGCCACTTACAATGTACACCTTTTAGTAAATAATTAAAAAATAATTACCTTTGTTAAAATTGGAGTTTTTTATGCTTTCATGGTAGCATCCAGAAAAAAAAAAAGTTAGCTCCCTGTATTTCATTTAAGCAACAGATATTTTTAGTTATGAGTTTAAATTCAAATGTAAATAGAATAATTTGTGCATACAAGAAAAAAGTCAGCTCTCTCAATGAGCATACATTGTTAAATTAACCCATTATTAATGAAGCCATAAAACAGGCATCAATGCAATGAGGTGTTGAGTACATTGTTCCTTCTTACTATTTTCAATAACACATAAATGATTTTTCGAAACACTTTTGTAACTTATTTTAATGTTATCATATAGTACAAGGCACATTTTCAAAGTTTCCTTCTAAAAACAAGTTTACTGCCTAATTTGCTCTTACACTGAATTGGTTTTACTTCATTGAATGTTAAAAGTGCTATATTTTACATCCATAAACAGATTTAATTTATATAAGGCATTCTTGTTAATACCTTCAATTAAACATCTTATACAGAATAATATAAAAAATTCAACAACTAAAATAAAATTTAAATGTAAAATTTCTACATTCAATTTTACTTCACCAAAAATATTGACATTAATATAAACAATTTTTACTAAAAGTTGAATGTATTTTTATATAAAAAATGCAAGTTTGTTTTGAGAGCTCTAATTTTTTTGAAATTTGACATACTTATTATTATGAACCCTAGGTAAATAAAGATAATATTGTACTATATAAATTTATTAATTTTTAATTCCATTTTTTAAATGTTAAAAAATTTTCAGCCAAGGCTTTAAAGGCACATGTATTTCATAAAATGAATTATTATGTATTTCTAATTTAGTAAAACCATGTAAAATTATGATAAGGACAACTGAAGGCTAGCTTATGAGGAATTTGTGGCTCACAGGCAATTAATAGGATTACAAGTACATCACTTTTCCCCCATGCTCTTTTCATTCATGGGTCCAGAAGTTGAATCCCTTCCCTTACAAGAAATCTGGGGCTTGCTGAGATGTAGTAATTATTAGTGGAGATGCAGAATCCTTGAATGAAATACAAATTTTAGCAAAATGAATTTTTAACAGTTGTTCATGAGAAGTTCAAGATGGAGGACAGGAAAAAAAAAAAGATTTGTCTTTCCTCATCTGAGACACTAGTAAAATTAGAAGAGTAGTTTAAAAATCAAAGGAATTAAGTATTAAAAGTTAAAGAGAGTATGTTTGATAGTGAAATTCAATGAATAGCTTGTAAAGGGGTGAATTCCAACATAAAAAAAAAAAGTAAAGAAGTTGCAGCCTAGACTACAAAATGCAAGACACTATACAGAGCGTTGGGAACCATCTGCCCCATGAAAACAGATGAGGCCCTGTTGTTCTTAAACAGACGGAGGAGGTTAAATAAAAGGAGATAAAGTTTTAAAAAAAGTCTTAGCACTTTTTTTCACTTCTGTGCAGAAAGTCCACTATTTTTTCTAAGGCTGGGGGTGGGGCAGGGTGGGAATCTCTAACTGTTTTTTAAAAAGGAAGCAACATCAAATTCTTGGGGAAAACTCAGTCTACCAGCACAGGTTTTGAAGTAAGAGGAAACATCTCTGGATTTTGTCTGTTCTCAACTCACTCAGTCTCCCAAAAACTAACCCTGCTAATATCTAAGCATGTAACATTTAATCTTTCTGAAATTTCACTGATTTATGTTGTGAGTTAAGTGTATAACTTAATTCTTTTTTCAAAGATCACCTAAATTTGCAATGGCTATCTAAATGAATAATCAGTTTAATTCTCACTGCTTGGTGATACTTTTCTTAGTTTATATTAAAGATACATACTGAACAAGGATCACATTCTAGAATATCAGTTTTTATGGAAGTGCCATACATTTAGAATTTAGGATAAAAAACGGCTTTGAAATACTGTTTTATAAACAATTTTTCTTTATTAACTCCTAGAAGGTTTCTAGATACTTTTTCCTAACCCCACCTCCATAAAATTTTAATGTCACAAATATGTGATATGTTTATATTGCCCAGTAGGTTTAAGCTCGGGAAGGCCCCAAACTATTGTAATAGCTAAGCCTTTTTCAGAGAACAAGTTTGCTGAAGTGGCTAAATTCCCACAAAACAAAAAAAAAAAGAAGAAGAAGAAGAGGAAGAAGAGGAAGAAGGAGAAGGACAAGAAGAAGAAGAGGAGGAGGAGGAGGAGGAGAAGGAGGAGCTGTGGTGGGAGAGACAAATGGCCAGAAAAAGGATTAACTATTAAATGAGCTTTATTTACATAACAAGGCCACTTTTTTGCTAGCCAAGCCAAACAGAAAGCCATGACTGTCACCCCATACTTCAGTTCCATAGCTAAGGTTCTGTCTTCTTTTTTTCCCACCATGACAGCCTAAGTTTCGTTCCTAAATCAAGCCCTTTCTGGTTTGATATTTGGTACTGATGAAATAGCAGCAATTTGTCCTAGTTGAAATACGGTAATGAGATTTAAAAGGATTTATTTTAAAGGAACTTGATGATTAAAAGCCAGCTTAATTAAAAGCTAACATTCAACATATGTGGTGTGTGTGTTTGTATTTAGCAAGACTTCGTGTTTTTTTAATTTTGTTTTTGTTTTTTTCTCTCCTAAAACCTTGTCTTTTTTTTTTTTTTTGAGCAAAAGTGTTTATAATTAAAGGGAAATTATAATGGTCTTTCTAGAGATTGGGTTTAATGTAAAAAAACACTTATACACTAAAGAATTAATTAGAATAATAACTTTCCTTAAGAGATTTACTCAATAAATTATAAGATATTTTAATTTTTTACCCGAAAGTTCAACTTTTATTGCATCTCACCATTTTTAGTTTCTCTCCTCTTTTAAAAGGTGCTAAATGATCATCTCTCCTTCAAATCAGTTTCAGGTTATATAAATTTTTTTCTCAAGTTCTGCTTGTTGTGGCCTGATGCTAACAATATTTTTGTTAAAGATCTAAAGAAAATATTTTCTTCCAGCATAATATTCTGTACACTGCAGAATGTCTTTTTTTTTTTTTTTTTTTTTTTTTTTTGCCTTTTGGTAACTGGCCTAACAGATTTTATGTTTTATCAAAATAATTACTATGCCATTATCATTAAGCTTTGATTCACTTACCAAAAAAAAACCTGAGATAAAAAAATTTTTTAATTAAGTTTATTACATCCATTTATCTTTTTGTATATGCTTTCAAAATACTTGTGACATTAAGTTACAGGCCTTTGACTCCTGGGTCTTAAAAAGACACCAAGTCCTGCTAAATCTTAAAGCAATTAAAGCCTCAACTTCAGGGCCCATAGAAGATGCCAATCAAATGAACTGCATTCTTAAGACACAGGGCCAGAAATTAAAGCCCTTCAACTCTTCGAGGCCCAGGGACTATTGCAGAAGAGTTGGGCATGTAAGATTTTAAGGGTCAATTTTAAGAGATAAAATAAGTTCAATTTCTCTATAAATTAACCATTAATGTCAAAGGCACACTGATGCAAGGCCAGCATATGGGCACCTGTGTCAGATTAACACACTTTTTTCGAACCATTAACCAACTCCTTATTAAAGGTTATAAAGGTTATAAAAGGCTTATGAAAGCCATATCTTATGATCAAGATTAAATTTTATAGATTGTTTATAAAATTTGAAAAACAAATTTAATTGGCTTCATGCTGTTTTTTATTAGGGCATATTGTTTGGAAAAATTAAATCTCTCTCAAAGAATGAATGTTTTGCCTTTTTTTGAAATCCTTGAGTTATCAGTTTTATGAAATGAATGACTAATTTTACAATGACCTGTAATCCTATTTTGTGATATCAAGTGTTTTAAATCTTTGATATTTGACAAACTTTCCAAAATAAAATTATAAATTATGTTTTTTTCTGATATAATTAATCCTTTAAGATATTATTAAGAGGTTCCCGGCTGGGCGCAGTGGCTCATGCCTGTAATCCTAGTACTTTGGGAGGCTGAGGCGGGCAGATTGCCTGAGCTCAGGAGTTCAAGACCAGCCTGGGCAACATGGTGAAACCCCATCTCTACTAAAATACAAAAAATTAGCCGGGTGTGGCTGTGTGCGCCTGTAGTCCCAGCTACTCAGGAGGCTGAGGCAGGAGAATTGCTTGAACTGGGGAGGCGGAGGTTGCAGTGAGCTGAGATCATGCCACTGCACTCCAGCCTGGGTGACAGAGTGAGACTCTGTCTCCAAAAAAGAAAAAAAAAAAAAAAAAGAGAGAGAGATTCCCTAAAGTCCAAAAATGACATATTTGGCTTATTTGGTATAAAAATTATACAGGAAGCATTGTCAAAGATGAAATGGTGTTTGATTTTCTTTGGGCTGTATTTGTATAAATGTGTTATTGGTATGTGTTCCAAAATTATGGGAAACTCCTATAAATTTAATATGACTTAGTGCACATTATCAGTAATAATTGTAATTGTTATGTTAAATTATTTTGTGCCACAGAGGTAACAACTTTTCTTGTCAATTGTGTCTTTGACAGTGGCTTCCCTAAAACTTTTGTCATCCATGAACAATTGTCTTATTTTGATCCTCTTTAGAAGGTGGTTTCATAATCAGATATAAAATTCTAACAGATGCTTTGAATGCAGGTTTCTGATAACTTTGGAAGTTGTGACATCAGAATACAGGAAAAATTTTCAAGACTCATGGAGATCTGAAATGTTCATGAATATCAAGCAGAACAAGAATTAGCTGCATTAACTAAACTCATAGAAGTCTGAAGTAATCTTTTTAACTTTTTGCTTAAAACGTCGCTGATCCTTTGGTTTGTTTTTTAGAGTTACAAAAACTTTTCTTTTAAGCTATTTACAGCTGTTAACAACTGAGT
This sequence comes from Homo sapiens, assembly GCF_000001405.40. Taxonomy (NCBI): domain Eukaryota; kingdom Metazoa; phylum Chordata; class Mammalia; order Primates; family Hominidae; genus Homo; species Homo sapiens. The sequence goes on along the minus strand of NC_000004.12, from coordinate 115,545,746 downwards.
GAAGTATATGAACAGAATTTGGAGCTTACTTATCTCTACCTGATTTCTACAGAATTTGGAAAATGTTTATGAGTATTTTCAACTTATGACAATACAGTTATTTGCATAAGTGCAATAAGAATCTGTTTTTATTTCTAACAGGACACAATTGGAGAAACGGGTTATTTTACCTAGACTTTAACCGGAATGGTGTGCTTTCCTTTAAGGACTCAAACTTGACTTATGAGGCCAATAAAGCCCCTTGGAAAAAGTAGTCTCATATCCTTATCTACACAGTCCCTGTACAGGGTTCCACTTTCTGACAGGCCCAGGAGCCCCAGTTTTATCCTGAGAATTCCTCTCAAGAGGAGAGGAATTCACCCAACTCATAGGTATTTAATGGTACCAATCCATGGCTGGGCTGCTCTTTAAAAAAGTCTTATCTGAGATTCTTTCTATGGAACAAATTTCCATCAAAGCCAATTTAAAAGCCTATGTAAAAAAAAATTATTCTTGCTGCACTGTATACAAAGAATCAGGCCAAGCATAATAAGGCGAATCAGTCCTACCAGGATTTGTCTGTAGTAAAAATGAGATACTGGGGAGAGAAAAATAATGTTTCAAAAAACTATAATATACCTGTTGTTAGATTTTAGTCTTGCCTGATGTTTTTCTTTTAAGCTATTTACAGCTGTTAACAACTAAGTGAAGTATATGAACAGTGAAGAGTGAAGTATATGAAGCTCTTATTATTTTCTACAGCTTGAACCAAATTCTAATTTTTCTTGGCAAAACACCTGCAAAATAATGTTTTCAATTTTTTTCCTTCTTTTTACCCATTTTTTTTAACATTTGGAGTCACTGAAAACTAAGCTGTGCTTTCATAAAGCCCTGGGAACTGAAGCTGGACAACTTAAACTTCAGAAGAAAATAGCAGCAACCTATTTACATACATAAGCCACTTTCATACTTGCCTACTGATGTATGGACTTCAGAGTAATGTGGCCTATATCAATTTTTCAGGATTATTCTTTTGTTTGTTGTTGTTTTTCTCCCTTCCTCCCCCTATTTTCTCTTCACAAGACATGAGACTTCACAACCTTCTAGAAATGAGCTTTCTTAATAACTTGGGACTTACCTGTCTAGGAATAAACCATCCTAGCCATGAGAGATCAGACAAAACCTGAAATCAGAGACTCATTTTCTTTAAAAATGCTTTCTCCAAAAGATTTTTAAAAAAGAAAAGGGGGGAAATGTGAAAGAAAAATAAAACTTGGGGCTCCCGAATCACTAAGCTGAGGGGAAAAGTCAAGGTGGGAACTGCTTAGGACTGACCTGCCTCCCATTCTATTCAAAGTCACCTCTCTGCTCACTGAGATAAATGTATATCTGATTGCCTTCTTTGGACAGGCTAATCAGAAACTCAAAAGAATGCAACTGTTTGTCTCTAATCTCAAAGACCCCTCCCCACTTCGAGTCTTCCTGCCTTTCCTTCGCATTGTCCAAACCAATGCTCATCTTGCACGTGTTGATTATGCCTCATGTCTCCCTAGATTGCATAAAACTAAACCGTGCTCTGAGCACCTTGGGCATATGTCATCAGGACCTCCTGAGGTTGTGTCATGGACACGTGTCCTCAAACTTGACATTTGGTAAATTAACTGAGATCTGTCTCAGATTTTAGGGGTTCACACACTTAATAACTCGCTTTTGCAAGAGCTAAGATGAGTATCTGTTGAAGATTCAATAAATGGAAAAGTAAGATTTCCTATTTCTGGGTTGAATTAAAAAGATATTTTATTTTATTAAAACAGATGCCTGCTTGTCTAGTGTTACTTAAAACTTTTTAGTTCACCTAAGCATTACCTGGAGAGCCACTAACATCCCAGAGACAATGTCTGACTCACGGAGAGTCAGGATGTGCATTGTTAACAAGCATCACAGGCAACACTTTTCAAGTTGTTGTCACAACAAACTTTGAGAAAACCTATCCTATACCAATTACTTTTTCACAGAAGCATTTTCTCTGGTTCATTTAATTTATATTATACCTCTCTTCTAATTCCTTGAAAGAAAGTGCAAAGATAACTATTACACACCATAAACTGAAATCAGCTTAGTATCCATGAATTATTTATTCAAAATTCATTACTGGAATTTGAAAAAATGTGAGGAAAAATATTAGAATATAATGTATTTTATATTCATAATATGTTTCACTCTTCCAGTAGAAAAAAAATTACTAAGAATTATTTAGGCCAAAAAAAAGGCAAAAAGAAATAACAAAGCTATATTTAGAATTTTAATAATGTAATCAAACAAACAAACTTCTTTTGTAAGCTAACATGAAGAAAGTTTATTTCTATGGTTTCATCTGTTTACTCTTTCGTATCCACAAAACAATTCACATGTTGGATTTTAAAAGCACTTAATAACACTTGATTTTAAAATATGTTTGATAAGTTGTAGACACAATACAATTAACATGTAATAAAGAGGCACACTAAACACATCTAAGGTTTTGATTGAAATATTTTTGAAAAGTTTAATCTGCAGGCCCTATCTTTTACTTTCAAAGTGAAAGTTGGATTTTAGAGATGTGTGTATGCATGCGTGTGTGTGTGAGAGTGTTTGTGTGGTGCTGGTGATGATAGTGGTGGTAGTTCTAGTAGTATAGGAAGTTTGGAACCAATAGTATAAGCCATTTAAACCTATAAAGTGTATGTTATAGAAATACAAAATATAACTATCTTCTTCCTAGTGTTATTGCTTTATCAGATGTTAATATTCATGGAATCTCAATTAACTTTATTATACATTATTTTTAAATATAAATATTTGAAGAACACATAGTAGCTACCATTTATTAAAAGTTTTATATGCATCCAACCTTGATGGATTTCTAGGATATAGAACACATTACTCTTACATATGAGAACATTGAGGCATAAGTAGGTTAGTCATTTTTCCTAATTCGCTCAGTCTCGTACCCAGGCCTGTATGGCTCTTGAGACTCAGCTTGTAGCCACAGATATAATGGTATATACTAATCATTAAATATTTAGAATGAAAGCAATATTAATGTCATCAAATATACTTATAAGGAAAAATTTATCTGAAAATTAGGAAGGAAACAAAAATATGTACGGAACACCTTTACAGTATCCCATGGGGCAAAGGCTTCCCAGGAATTATTTAGGAGAAAGTAGTTAGTCCTTTCTTTGTTAACTATTGACTAAAGATCCCAGAAGTTATTTGTAGATTAATTTGTAAAGAAATTTTATAATTTTTGCTCTTAGCTAATACAAATAGTTTCTGAAGCTCAGTAAAAGAAACAACCCCCAAAATACATGACCTATTGAACACTGACAGTTTTATATCTAACTTAACAATCTTATGCTAAAAATTCATTGTTAAATTCTCCATAAACATCTTAGCTCTCAGGTGCTCTTTGATTCAGTCATAACATTGTAGTGGTTCCAATATTGATACATAAATTAAATTAGTGAAAATTATTTTATATTTTAAAATAAAATCTTCTTAGAATTACACTTTTTCATTTTTGTCATTACATATAGTATGATGAGTACTCTGATAACAGTTCATTTATTTATTTAATAAACATTAATTGAGCACTTACTAGATATCAAGCTCTGCAGAGTCAGAGGTGATCAACACAGAGGTGATGGCACTTGTTCCTGTGGAATTTATGGCCAGGTGGATTGACTAATATTACAGTAATATCATCATTAATTAAGTTTGAGAAATACTATGAAGGAATATAGAAGGATACAGTACATTTTATTGGACTGCACTAATCCAAGAAATAAAAGACCAATGATACCTATTTTCTGTACAATATAACTACCATTTGTTGAGTAACATAACTTCTATGTTCCTTAAATATATTTGTCTCTGGTTTTCAAATTGTTCCTACAAAGGGTATAATCATTCTTAAACCTAATATAATTTTGAAACTTAGAAAATTAAATATATACCCAAGTTAAAAATTCGAACCAAATAGTCAAAATTTATTCTAATTTGATGTGGAAAATACATTGCATTGTTTCCTCTATAGTTTATAGAATATGACTGATCAATAAAAATATATATAACGTTCAGGATATTAGTAGAACGAGAAAGAATTACGTTTTATCTATCTATCTATCTATCTATCTATCTAGGGTATCCAATGTTCAGGGGCATATTCTAAGTCAATAACATGAAAATTTTACATTAAATTTACCATAAAATATGTAACAGGAAAATTGGTAATCATATAGCATACCACTTCGTTATAAAAATAAATGTAAAAATTATTTTGTTGAATAAAAATAAAATAGACAAAATCTACTTTAGACATGACATTATTTAAAATAGTCTCAAACATACTATACATGCAAGTCCTTTACATAGAAAACTACAAATCACTACTGAAGAAAAGCTATATAAATGAAAAATATTCCATTCTCATGATTGGAGGTCAATATTGCAAAGATGCCAATTATTTTCAAATTGATTGTTACAATTCTATCTTGTTCAATGTATCTGCACAAATTATTACATCTCTAGTCTAATTCCAAAACTACTGAACTTAGACAATTTTGATCAGCCATAACAGAGAATTCAAAACCAAGCTCTTATAATCTCAAGTAAAATTAAAAATTACGAACAATGGCATTCATTATTTATATGTGTCTATGTGGATATATGCATGGATATTTAGGTACAGTTATGAATATAAGTATGACTACAGATCCATATATGGCAAACAAGGTATTAATCTGTGGATATAAAAACCTCAGGATGATCCAAAGCTATCATATTTTACAACCGCAGGCATATATTTACCTAAGTTCATGGTACCTTCTGAAATTATTCTATAGCTTTATCCCATCAGGAATACACTCCAGCACTCTCTACGTTTTCTGTCTCACCTACAGAAAAAAAAAAAAAGGCTAGGGAACACTTGTGCAGGTTACAACCCAGGGAAACTGGCCCCCTAACAGACGCAGATTTAATCATAAAATTATAGAATGCTGCCTCTATAATAACAGTGGATTATAGTTGAAATAGCTGCAAGACACAGTCCACCTTTTATAAGTGTATATAAGGAATCCAAAAGTCAAGAGTGAAGGCATAAACAAGGATTCTGAAGGATGTTGAAGCCTCCGATACCTATAACCAAAATAAACATTTATTACAGAACAAATCCTATCCAGATTAACATGAATTCTCATAACAAAGACCTATTTACCCTGCTTCCATTTGCTCATTTGCCATGTCTGGTGTTCAAAAAACATTTTATTAAATGCCAAAAGGCAAAAAAAAAAAAACCCTCTGAAAAGACAAAGAACTAATCATAACTAACCTCATATATGACACAGATATTATAATTAACAGACAAGATAGGTAAAAAAAAAACCTGACTCCTGTCAAAAGCCTAAATGGAAAAGTCAATTAATATGCCAGAATAGATAGATAATATAAGCAGAAAGATGGAATCTCCAAGATAGAATCAAAAGCAAATGCTGGAAATCACAAACACTGAAGCAGGACCTAAGAATGCCTTTGATGTACTTACCAGTTGACATAATATGGCCAAGAAAAGCCATGTCAATAGAAACTTAACTGTTTCTATTTCCCAAACTGAAATGAAAGAAAAAAAAGAATACAATATCGAAGACAGAACAATTATGAATGTGTAACATATGTATAATTAGATTACCAGCAGCAGAAAGGAAAAGAAGCAAAAAATCTATTTGAATAATAATGATAATTATCAACAATTAATTATAGACATCAAACTACAGATCCAGGAAGCTCAGAGGACACAAAGTAGAATTAATGCCAAACCCTCTACATCTAGGTGTATCATATTTAAACTGCAGAAAACCAGAAAAGAAAATATCTTGACAGAAGTCAGATATAATTAAATCAACCTACCGTTAGAGGAATAAAAGAAATTGTCATTGTTCTACAAAACACTGTTCAATGTGAAGCACTGTCCAAAGCCCCGTTTACCTAAACATTTCACGGACAAGTGTGGGATTTCTTGAATTTAAATCTGATTCTGAGCCCCCAATACCTAGTGTAAAGGAATTCAAAAAATAAGCCTTTATTAAAATATCTTCCCTTCAGGTAGAAGGCTAACAACAAAGACATGGCTTCTGTTTTTTTCTATAGCGAACTTATGGTTGCTACTTTTGGTACTCCCAAATGACCATGGTCTGCATAAGCACTGAAAGATAAACAGCTCTACTCTTCTGTATCAGCATTCAGCAGGAGTATTTTTACTTTCTCTAGATTCTCATTAGTGGCATTTCAATCTCTTCCTCCTCTTCCAACATGCAAGCATGCCTGTGTGCAAGTGTATACACACACACACACACACAAATTTTACTAACCTACCACAGGTACTGCAACTGAACAGGTCCCTGCCAATCAGGAAACCCATCCGCACTCTCAAATCTCATCTCTCTGCATCTTGGGGAACTTCATTAAACTCAAAGCATCAGTACTTCTCAATACATCTTTTCCTCCTCTATACTTTGATGAATTATTGTCAATGAGCCAATGGCTTTTACTATATACAAGCTTGGTTGAGGATAATCTTCAGGGGTGCCATTAACTTCTTTGAGACTCTGAAACATAAAGTCCATTAATATACCTTAAGACAAATGAGGCCCAAACAATACAAAAAAAGTTTGTTCATTCTACTTATGTGTTTTTCCTGAGATTCTCCTCCAGCCACCAGAACAAAGAAATTAATACAATACAGTGTCCCATTACGTTCATATTTCCCTAGCTAGCAGAAGTATATGCTCAAAGAATATCAGGAGCTGATCAGATTGAAAGGGTTATTGACTCCAATCCTCTCATTTCATAGATGAAGAAACAAAGCCTCAAAATAGTTAAAGGACTTCTCAAGGTCACACAATAAGTTAATTCCAGAAATCTCTTGGTGAAATGCTTTTTTAAAATGTCCATTCATTTATGTTTGTAGCATATTGTTACATAAATTATTCAAAAGAGTTGGATAGTGTTTTATATAATTAAGTAATTAAGAGAAGTTAAGTCAGGGTAAAGTCTAATAATATAATAAGGTGTTTCCTTACTTAAATAGCTTATTTTTGAAAAAAACTGTGTGATTGTGATATGTCAAATTCATTTTCAGGTAGTATGTCAAAATTCATTTTCAGGGTATGTTGAGTTCATGAAAACTAAATTTCAAAGTAATTCACAAAAATTTACTTTTTTTACTTGCTTTAAAGTGGAATAGAACATAGTCTACATTTAAGTTCTGTTCAATCGGTATCAACCAAATTAACATTTCAGCAACTTTCAAATCACCCCTGGCAACTCTGGCAAAACGTGGTTTATTAGGTCAGGAACATATGCATGTATATAGTTGAGAGGTTTCACTCATATACGTGTGTGTATGTATTTATACACTTTGCTTCTTCTGAAGGAAAAAAGGGAGACTTTAAATAATTTTGAAATATAATCTCAGTGAACTTAGAGCTTGATTGACAGGTTAATAAATATTTCAATATTTAATGGATTACTGAAAAAATAGGTCATCATGATTATATAGAATTTTCTTACCTCACCTTTACTTCTAGAAACTGTTTTTCTATTTTTATCAGCACAATGTGTGGTAAATACAATAGCACAATATTAAACTTTGCAATAAATAAAATACTAATGAAACAAAATAACCTGAGTATGAAGTAGTTTGTAAAAACTAAAGTCATGAATCAAATGCAATTGGTTCAAATAACAATTAAAGGTATTGAGTCCTGTATTTAGTTGCTCAGGAAAAAAAAAAACTGTTAACGTTCCTGCCAATATCTAGTTAATAAAATTAATAGATTAATAAAGTTTGTTTAATGTTACTACCATTTCCTATTGGTTTCTTCTTTTTTCTTTTTTCTATTTACAGTTATTACATACGAAAAATTATACTGGTTTTTGAATAATTGTCTTTGTATGGTTCAAATCAGTTTCAAATCTTCCTTCTCTATACTGACTTCAGTGCAAGTAAATTACCTTAAAGTAGAAATGTCTTTTCTTAGACATAAAACCATCTAATTTAACTTATTTAACCATTAGACATTTTTATAATTTAAAATACTTTATGCAATAATTTATGCCAGAAGGTGGCACCAAAAGACTCAACTTTAAAATCCCTTTATTAATAAGTGCATTCCTTTATTCTATTTCTAAAGGCAGAAAAATAGCATTGGAAGAGTCGATTAAAATGATAAAGACAATACGTACATTTTGAGGTTGTATGGGGCACTGACCAGGAATACTTATTTTTGAGTTCAGATATAACACAGCAGTAATAATTCTAACAGTTTATGCTCATTTTACAAATTTATATGCATTTCTGAGCTTCTTAAAAATGGAAGCTTACAGATTATCAAGTGGATGTTTCTCATAACAAGAGAAAACAGCATATATTCTCTCCCAGTAAAGTATGTTTCTGATATGTGTTTTACATTTCCATCATGAAACTTAGGCCATTTTAGTTAGTTTTCTAACTTTAAAGATAGATCCAATGTCAGATTAAGGGCAAAAAATTTCCAAGCTTCATTAGTATTATCAATAATATATCATTCCTTTTCATTTGCTTTTATCTTGAGCAGTAGGTAAATTCAATAATGGGAGCTCAAGCTCCGGTATCAAAATGTGTGATTTTGAGTTCTTGTTCTGCCATATTCGTAGCTGTGTAACATTGGGAAATTTAAATAAATCTCTTACCACCTCTTACTCTCTGTGTCTCTTTCTCTGTTTAAATTTAATTTGTTAAGCTTACTTTGTGATAAGGTGGTAAAGTTGCATTAGAATTTAAATAAGATATACACATAAATTGCTTAAACAGTTCCTGGCAATTAGTAAACATTCAAACATATTTTGCATTAATAATGTTATTTTTTAAAAAGTTTTCTCTTTTGATAGTTACCTCTAAAGATTCCTTAGTCTTAAATTTCCAAATAATAAAACTCCTTGGAGTTTGGTTTAGTTGGGAATCATAAAAGGAAACATTTATCTGATGAATCATTCAGTACAAAAAATATACCAATTTTTAACTTTTTTATAAAACTGCCAGAAATATCAAGTAGTAAATATTTTACCCTATTGGTACAAAGAATGTTTTGAAAATATGTGTATCTGAGCACTTCTTTATAAAACAGAAAAGGGAAAAAATATATTGAATAAATACAATTTAGGCAATGAAAGTGCATATGAGATTTAAAAAACAAAACTATTCTGCTAAATCAGGCAAAAAAGAGCAAATTTAGTAAAAGAAGTCATACTTAATAATGAGTTAACATGCCACATGAGTAACGCTGTTACTAAATTTTATCCACACACATGTATATGACATACATATTTATATTTTGGGGTGGTAACTGATGTGTGTCTGCTATAAAACCATAGCACATTTATCTTTGGGGCACAAATACAAAAAATTGAAACTGAAAAACCAGGTGAATATGCTATAATAAGATACAAAATCTACTTCATTTCTAAATAAAATTATAGCTATTCTATGCAATGAAAATAATGTGTGCCCAATTAGTTACTTAGTCACTGTTTGCAAAACGAAGGCCTACAGAAGTAGCCAAAATGAAAACAGTCTAATTTTCTCATTGTTTTATCTCAGAAAGAATTATTTTATTTTGCCTCAATAAAAATGGATGTTAATAAAGGAGTAGATAAATGACAGGAACTACATACATTCTAACTACAAAGAACCTGAGAACAATTTCTACAGCAAAAACATAGTGATTTCTAACCTAAGGAAACTATCACCTCCTCAATCTTTCTCTCTGTTCTAGAAAATTCTAAATTCAACACATCTTTATTACTATAACATAGAAAACCAAAGGTTATAGTTGATTATTATATTACTTATAAGCCAAGTTTATAGTGTCTTCATTTTTATCCATAACACAATAGAATCTGAATTAGGCTAATCTCAAGAGGTATTTAGATTCATTTCAGATAAATATTTAAATTGGTTTTGGAAGCTTCTTGAAACTGTCACATTATTCTTCCACATTATAAATTACAGGAGGTTTGCACATGTGCACATGTAAATGTTTAGAATACACTTTCCTATACGCCTCTCAAATATTTTAAAATATTTTAATATCCTTTATAGTTTCATAAAAATCTTACTAACCTCTGCCTTTAACATTATTTTTTTACTATAAAGTAAAAATTTTCAAGCTTATTTCTTAACATCTACATTTCAGTTGGTCGTGGATGTACCTCAGTTTTAAGAAAGCAGAAAAGGCGTTGAAGATTTTTGATGAAAGGTAAACTTCTTTTCAAAGCAAGATTCACCTTACTTTTCTAAACTTGCAATGTTTGTTGGTGGTGGTAGATTCCTGGGTGCTAGCTGGATGTTTGCCATATTTTTGTTTTGTTCTGAATTTAATGCAAACAAAATGCTAACATATTACGTTAAAAATTCCAGTTTATGGAGTATTTCCTAGATACAGAGACATGTAATAAATTTTAAATCATTGAACTGATGTCAACCTTCACAACGGTTGCATTAATATAAATGTTTGATCCCATTTATCAGATAAAAACACCTGAAACTGAGAGAATGTAAACAATCTAAAGTCATAAAGATGATAAGAAGAAGTAGACAAAGAATTTATGAGCGGAATTGAGTGATATCAAATAATATATTCATAAAGCACACTACTAAAATATCTTGATCTGTTAGATATTGCTCTATTCTCTTTTCAAATATAAATTCCTGTTTATGGGTCTGATTCATGAACAAGATATTAGAATACCAGTTCTCAATACTGTTCTAAATTTAATAAGGGAGTTCAAATAATCAAAGATACTTCCTATTCATACCATAGACAAAACTAAAGGGAAGAGTAAAAACAAAAGTGCATTAAGTTATTTAGTTGAATAATCGGATATAATAACCAATTCCATTGATTATAAGTCAGACTCAAAAAGTTGCTCAACAATATAGATGCCTTATTTTCTTTTTCCATTCACTATGTATTAAAATAATTGTCTTGTTCAGGTTAAAATGAGATGTTAGTTACTATTATAAAGATATTTTATTTCTGTATCAATTGCCCTAAATGCTGCAATTTTAATGATTAAAGTTTTACCTAATTTTTGTATTTTACCAAATTTGTTAATATATAATTTACATAGGATAAACTGTTTATAAAGCATTCAATTGAAATTATACAACATTTCTATCTTCTTAAAAGCTTCCTCATATCCTTCTGCTATCTATCCTTCCTATACTATTGCATGTCAATCATAAGAAAAATAACATGATTTTAAATAGGAATGAAATATTTGCACAGTTCTCATACACATAGAATATTTCCACACTTCATACATACACTTCACATACACATAAATGATCAAAAAGCACATGGGAATATAATTATTATTATCATCAGAAAAATGCAAATTAAAAATAAAATACAACACACTATAATTGTGAAAATTAAAAAGAACTATAATAATGTTGTGGAACAAATGAAACACTTTAGCTATTTTAAAATTTGTAAATAATTAGGTATATTCCATTAGTTTTTCTCTTTATTGTTTAACATGTAAATTATTTGTTATATTTCTGCTCATATTTGTGGTACAAATGAGTCAACATTTTGTCATGTCTGTATATTGTCATTCAGAGAAAAACAGCATAAAGTCAATTATTATGTTCTACTGTTTGGTTTTGGCTTTTTATTTCAGAAAGACCATATGAACTTACATGATACAACTGAAAAAGTATATGAATGTGTATATATACATAGGTAAATAGAGAAGCATAGATAGGTATAATGAAAGATATCTTACTCTAAGGGTAAGGACATAAAGGCTAAAATATCTTCTCAATTTTTGACTACTTTTTATTTTTATGTCTCTTGATTATAAGTTTCTTTACATATTATCACACTCTTCAAATTCATTTTATACATTTTTTTAAAGTCCTCTTTCTGTCACCTATACAGACTCTTCTGCTCAACAACTCTAAGAAATAGACAAGGTGCTGTTTTTTTGTTTATTTTCATTATTTTCTAGGAAATGTTTAGGTATTTTAGTGAATTCAAGGTTTTAAGCATCACATCTGCATATATAGCTCCAACCTTACTTAAGAGCAGAGATGCACAATTCAATTGGATTGAACCAAATTCTAAACTCTAAAGCTGGCCGGGTGGGGTGGTTCACGCCTGTAATCCCAGCACTTTGGGAGGCTGAGGTAGGTGGATCACCTGAGGTCAGAAGTTTGAGACCAGCCTGGCCAACATGGTGAAATGTCTCTACTAAAAACCAAAAATTAGCCAGGCGTGGTGGCACACACCTGTAATCCCAGCCACTCAGGAGGCCGAGGCAGGAGAATTGCTTGAACATGGTAGGCATCGGTTGCAGTGAGTGGAGATCGTGCCATTGTACTCCAGCCTGGGCAACAAGAGTGAAACTCCATCTCAAAAAAAAAAAAAAAATTCTAATGCAAAATCTTCTTCTATGTTTGCTAAACAAAATTCTGATCTGCTAACTAGTATATCCTAAAAAATTAGTAAATTTATTTTTCACTTATAAAATATCAATATTTAAATTATTATTGTTATTGTGATTGTTATCAAGATTACAAACTTTAATGCAGAAAAGAAACATGGGTTATTTAGGTGGAACTTTAATAATGTCCTGAACCAAGAGTATTTGTTGTTAGTTTTCACAAACAAAAAAATCAGAAAGAGTTTGTAATTGCCTGAAATTTCAGTTATAATAACCAAATTTTATGTTCAAGATTTGCTGTTGTAATGTTAATGTCCTTATCTTTCCTTTTATTACTCACTTCTTCCATTTAAAAATACAATGCTTTGATTGTAATTGACTACTTATTAATCTTTTCCCAAGATAGAAATAATCTCTACCTTTCGTTTTACCATTGTAGAATGAATAAAAGAAAAATATACTATGTCAAAATCTACTTGTTAAAATCTACCAATTAATCAAAGGCCACAATGGAAGTAATTCTTTGTTCTATTATGAATTCTAATGGCTTTTTTCTTTTCTGAAATTTTATATTTTGAGGAATAATATAAATTTGATATACTTTTATTAAATATGCATATATGGCATGAATAGTCTATTTTTAGTAGCAATATGTATGCAGTTTTTCTATGTGAATAACATCTGCCAATTTAAAGCAGCTTTACTGAAATATATTTCAAACACCATAAATTCATTTATTTAAATTCTACAATTCATTGGTTTTTAGCATGTTCACACACACGATGGTCTTGTCAGTTTAAGCAGTTAAATTACCTAAATTAAACCACCAAGTATTCTTCACTTATCAATCCCATATTTCACCCTCATTCACTACCAGTCACAATCAACCACTAATTTATTGTCTATCTCTATGAATTTCCCTAGTCTGATCTTTAATATGAAAGGAATCATATGGTATATATTCTTTTGTGATACTTCTTTCACTTTAACATGTTTTCAAAACGCATTCATGTTGTATCATGCATCCGTATTTTATTTTTTATTGCTTAATAATAGCTCATTGTGCGAATAAATCACTATGTATCTATACCATATTTTGTTTATTTGCTTATCTGTTGATGGACATTTGGGCTATTCTAAGCAGTACCATTAAAAATATTGAGGTGCAAGTTTGTTTGAACAATAAGACTTTTTTTCTAACATTCTATAAAGACCAATACTAGACTATTGGACTCATACAACCAGAGTATTTGGTTTCACTGTTCAATATTTTAATTCTGATTCACTGTTCTTGTCCTTGACAGACATTTTACACCTTCTTTAACATACCTAAAATTATATTGATATTGATGTTTAACTACTTAGATAGTTATAAATAATGAACGATGTATGTCTCTATTTTTAGATCTTACATAAAATGGTGAGGGGTTTATTTTTGGGTTTTCAATGTTATGGCTGATGCAACATTGACTAAGTTACTATAGTTTTATAATTACATCAAATAAATAATAATTTGAGAACTTCACATTCATTTTCTTCTAAATTTTTCTTGATTAACCTTGACTCTTCACCATTCCATAATATAATCACTTCAATTTGCCAAAAGTATGCTGAGATTTTGACCTGAATTTAATTGAATCAATAAACAGTTTGAAGATTATTGGCATCATTGCAATATGTATATACTTCACCATACAGCTTTTCTTCAATAGCAATTTGTAGTTTTCCCTGTAAAGGACTTGCATATGCATTTTTAAGACTATATGAAACACAGTAGGCAAATTCTTAATTAAATAGCTTTATTTTTATGCTTGGAGTTGCCATGAATTTGTACATCATTGCTGGCAATTTTAAATATTGTAAATCTAGAATTTCTGGCCAATGCACTTAAGAAAAAGGTCTGGCCAATATACTCCTCCTAAAATATCTAGAAGGCCAGACTTCCTCAACATTTATAAATTTTCAAAATTATCTGTGACTACATATTAATTTATAGCAACTTGCTGCTTACTGTAAAATTATTTTTCAAATGTTTTTCCATCAACAACCGTTAGGCATCGCTGGAAAATTTTGTTTTTTTCCCTCATGTTCCATATCATCCTGAGGGATGAAAAGTAATGAAGCAATGAATATACTCTAAATGGGGTACCAAAGGCATATCGAGTTTAGGAAGATACTCAGCATCTTAATAGTGATTCAGAGTGAATTGCTACTGCATGTTCTGTATTTAACCATTAATTGTGAGCACACTGTTTTATGCTTTCTTATTGGCTTACTTTGTTATTAAAGTCCTATAGTCAAATTTTTATAAGCATAATATTTTCAAATAAATTTGCACACTCTTTCAGGAATTATTTCAAAGCCTGGGAAATAAAAGTACTTTATAAATTCTCACTGAAAAAAATCCTCTATCTAGTTTTCTAAGTATAAGATCATTATTGTGTAGTTCTATAATATCCTTTATTAGATTATTATAATTATGCATTATGAGTACCCAGTTTCACTGTCCAATATATTATTGCTGATCCACTGCTCTACTTCTTAATAAGGAATGGATTCTGAATATTATACATATTTTTTGATCTACTAATTTTCTAAGAATTCTGATGGAATACCAATTGTGAGCTAAAAGCACAGTCTTATAAATTTCTTATTATGTCATTCCAAATTTTTGGCTTCTATAGATTACTGAGTTTAGTAAAATTCATGTCTGTGTTCCTTATCTTGGAATATTCTTAGTACTGTTTCTGGCACACAGTTAGTGCAATCATTATTTCTAGTATTGATGATGGTAATGATGATCACCATCATCATTATTATTCCCCTCTAAACTCTATGAGTTGTATAATAAGGATAAGATAATGAAGACTCAGAAAAGGTAACTTGTTTAAGGTCACACAGTTAATAACCCACAAACAAGGGTTCCAGACCAGGCTTTGTGACTCCATAGCACGTGGTCATTAGTACAAATACTCTCACAATAAATATTTTCTAATGTGAGCCTGAAAAATGAATATATAAAACCAATTATTTCTACCTCTAACTTTCAACTAAGGGAGGTCTAGAGTGAAGAACAATTAATCAAAAACATTTGCTTTGTCTA
This sequence comes from Homo sapiens, assembly GCF_000001405.40. Lineage (NCBI taxonomy): Eukaryota > Metazoa > Chordata > Mammalia > Primates > Hominidae > Homo > Homo sapiens. Next base: position 115,530,136 of record NC_000004.12, on the reverse strand, counting down.
AGTATGTATTGTGCACTCAGCATTTCTAAGGTTTGTGACAGACACAAAAGAAGAAAATACACCCATGCATACACACATGTACGCATATACATAAATACATACATGCAGAAACACATGTATACATATGAATATTGACTTAGAGATTAGATGGCAAGAAAATAATAAGTCCTACAAAAAAATATGATTTTTAAATATTACATACTTCAGAGAAGAAAAATGAGTGACTTTTACTAAGTGAAAAAGGCTTTTTGGAATGGAAAAACATTGGTTGTCAATCAAAAACAGAAACTCTGAAAAGAATGAATAAAATCTTGGGACTATTCTTGGTGAAAATGTATCTAACTGAAGCTTTTTTTAGGTGCCTGAGGAATACTAGAAAACAGCATTGCTTAAATATATTAAAATCATTCTATACTAGATTATGAAGGCCAGAAGCAATGACTGGATTTAATAAATTAAATAATACGGTAAAATTTTATACATAAGAGAAAAATCAGAATAAATCAATGATTTATAAATGTTATTTATGTCTGTAGACTTCAGGCTGAAATGAAAGCAGGGAATACTATAGCTAATAATCATGAATTCACTCAAAAATATTAAAAAACCTATTACAAGAGGAGAAATGTTTTAGTGGCAAAAGATAGTTACTTTGGTAGGAATGTTAAAGGTCACATTAGACAAGATAATGTGCACACTTAGATCAGCATGTGGTTAAGATAAGCCATTCAGTGAATGGTTAATATGCGTGATAGAACCAAAACTCACAGCAATGAGGTTGGTCAGTTGTAGAGTGATAAATCTTCCCAGTGCTATTTCTTCCTAACCACATTGCTCCTTTTCACTGTGTAGAAGGAGCAATGTGTAGAATAAGCAAACCATTCTATCATCAAAACTAAAGAAGAATTTCAAGGAGTGGATGATTCACAGTACATAATTCTGTGTAATTTAAAGAGTTTAGATATGGCATACAGTTACTGGTTTTATGGCAAATAATATGACTACAGTGAGTCTTAGAAAACTTATTGGTAAAAACTGCAAAGATGAAGAGTTGATTCGGAGAAAATAATCACAGGAGCTTAGAAGAAAACAGGAAAAAAAATGATTAATTTTATAGCAGCCAGGAAGAAAGTCAAAATTTTGTCTTTTGCACTGTGTGTTTGCACCTGTGAGAATAATGCAATGAACCATTGATATTCTCTGTCCTGCTTACATTGCTCTGGACACATCACAACTTTACACTTGCTATTCTCTCTGTCTGGAATAGGCCTCTTCTTTCTGGTCTTTCTTTCAGTTCTTCTTCTAACACTCCAACCTCTGACAAGTAGGAATTTTACATTCACGTGGACTAAGATTGTGGAAACTAATTTCTTAAGTAGGTCGCTTGAATTGACTCACTTTCTGTAGTCAGAGTTGCTCTTACTTCAATCTCTTATTCCCAGGTCCATCTACTCTATCTGTTTGGGATCACAGAACTATACTATGTTCATTTAAGGGATATACTAGGTCTTGAAGGAGAGTGCTGCGGTCTCCCCAGATACAATCTCTAAGCTTGTGCTTCTGCTTCATTTTCAAGAGGCTATCCCAATGTTCTTTCAGGAAACAAACTACCGGATGCTACAGCATGTACTTGAACCAGTTCAACCCATGATAAGAGTACCCACTGCAACATTACATTTGCCATAAAGTAGATTACTACGACTTAAGCATGTCATCAGGAGTTCACCTCTGTAAATGAGATTTCCAAAAGCCTCTGATAGTGACACTGGGTGAAACCCTGTGAACAGTAATGTCTAATTTATAACTGAAACACATGCTAAACACAATTAGGATGAAATGTTATTTCCAAGGTGGAAAAGACACAATTATCAACTTTCTACTAAGCCATTGCTTGATCTCCTTAAAGAAACATGGTGGGACATTGGTTTTTGTTGCCTTAGAACAGAGACTCAGTAAGATAGTAGTCAATCTTCTTGGCAAGAGGGGCCATTGTCATTATATTTAATAATACACATAATAATACACATACTTGAATAAAAATTTTTCAAAAACAAGCTGGATGAGGACATATAGATTATAAATAAACATGAACATTAAAACATGAAAAGGTACTCATATACATATGTATATGTATGTATACATATGTATGTGTGTATATACATATGTATACACAAATGGGTAGTAAAACTACAAATAAATTCAAGAAAATTATAGGAGGCAAATGAGGCACAGAGTATAGAAAACACAAACAAAAGTTTTGAATGGAATTACAATATGTTAATGACATATTACATCACATGTGTAGTGAGAGTCTGGGTGCTTTATGTGTCATTATTTATAATTGTTTATGTCAAAAATAGTTCACTATATTTTGAAGGAATAATGTTTAATAAGCCATTGCAATTTAGACAACATTTTTGCCTTGACTAGGTCTTTGTTTACAGTGATTTTATCATTTTTATTTTATTTAAAAAATTAAGCCTACTAGTAACAGTAATGAGTTAAATTAAAATGGAATTTAGCAAACTTTATACTTCCATATACAAAACTTCTTTGTAACCACAGAAATAATATACACCAGATTTTCAGATCAAAAGAAGCCAGGAACAGAAATAAATTATTTTGATGAGAGCATTAATATCTAAAGTGATCTTTATAGGTTGGAGAAGTAGGCTGTAGCAAAAAGAAAACATACTGGATTTAGAGAGAAACAACTACCCTACACAAAGAAAGCATCACTATTTAATTAAATGTTCCCTGTGGAAAAGAAAACTAAGTAGTTCACCAACAGACTGTATACTGGTATTTGTATCTCTATCTATCTATCTATCTATCTATCTATCTATCTATCTATCTGTCATTTTAGACAAAATAATTGTTCTGTGTTTAACATGAACTATTAGCATGATGAATGTGTCAAAAACTACTATGATAGGTTTAGACTCTTTTGATAAGAATCCAGATAAAGAACAGGAAACTAACAGTAACATATCTCTAGTCAGGCCCATTTGACTGGTCAGGTTGGACAAACCATGGGAAAAGTGTAGTATCTGGGCCAGATAGCACAGTCCCTCATGGCTTCCCTTGGCTAGGAAAGGGAGGTCCCTGGCCCCTTACACTTCCCAGGTGAGGTGACACCCCACCCTGCTTCTGCTCACTCTCTGTGGCCTGCACCCATTGTCTAACCAGTCCCAATGAGTTGAATTGGGTACCTTAGTTGGAAATGCGGAAATCACCTGCCTCACCCATAAATCACTTACACATCTGAAATATTATGTATGATTTTCTGAGTCCTATAGTAAGAAAAATGTTAAAATTTTGTGGCACCTAAATTATGATATTTTGATAATATTTATTTGTCCAATTTCAGAAAATTTATCTTTAATGACATGGTAATATTTGGAATGTATCATTCTTTCCAATGAAATCTGTCTTTAAGCAAATACAAAATTTTTTCTAACATATTAAAAATATAACAGTTCAATAAAACATCATAAGGCCATCACTTAGATTAAGCAATTATTAGGATTTCATCACTGTTGTTCTATTTATTCCTCAATATTTATGTGAAGAACTTGAAAGCAAGTTATCACTCATTAGATAATTTTATTTATATATACCTCTAAATTCATTTCTTTAAAATATGCTCATTTCTTTACAAACAACATTTTTATTATTATAATTACCAAAATAACAGTAATAGATAGAAATGTTTGATAATACTTTTAATGGTAGTAATTTAAAAAGAAATGACATAGAATTTAAATGGTTAAATGTTAACTCATAAAATATCAGATCACATGTTGGCTGAAGGGAGAAGTATGTACTTCTGTTGTCTCCAGACAGCACAGGAGGACCAAGACCAATGGTCCTACTGTAACTTTCATCAGTTATTTGTGCCTGTGAATAAATCATATTTTTTATTTTGAATGTGTATAAACTAAGATTAGCCAATCATGTAATTAGAAAGTTGAAAGTCTTCCATAGGATTTATGAATAAGAATGCACTGAACCAGGTCATATTTTCAAACCCAGATACGTTTGAATATTGTATTGGAATTGAATATTTCATGATTGTTTATTTTAATGTGAGAAATATGTAACAAATATATAAATAGAATAATTTTACTTATTTTTTCTAAACGTCTAAAATTATGTTTTAGATAAGGTAATCTCAAAACAGACCAAAATAGGTTTAACAAAAAGATATACATAGAGTATATATATGTTCTCAGATGCATGCATATTTCTCACTTAATTCTCATTTCTGTTTTTCTGTGTGCACAGCATATAAATACCAGTGTTTGCTCCATAAATAGGTATCCTCAAACCAAAAAATAAGTTATGACTGCCAAACCCTAGCTACAATATTTTCCTTAAGAAATTAACATGATACGGGATCTGGCAAGATGGCCAAATAGGAATAGCTCCAGCCCGCAGCTCCCAGCGAGACACTGGTCACCTGCAGAAGGCAGGTGATTTCTGCATTTCCAACTAAGGTACCCAGTTCATGTCATTGGGATGGGTTAGACAGTGGGTGCCACCCACGGAGAGCAAGTAGAAGCAGGGTGGGGCATTGCTTCACCCGGGAAATGTAAGGGGCCAGGAACCTTCCTCCCCAAGCCAAGGGAAGCCCCGAGGAACTGTGCTATCTAGCCCAGATACTACCCTTTTCCCATGGTTTTTGCAACCCGCAGACCAGGAGATTCCTTCGTGTGCCTACACCACCAGGGCCCTGGGTTTCAAGCACAAAACTGGGTGGCTGTTTGGACAGACACTGAGCTAGCTGCAGTTTTTTTTTTTTCCTCACGCCATTGGCGCCTGGTACTCCAGTGAGACAGCACTGTTCACTGTCCTGGCAAGGGGGCTGAAGCTAGGGAGCCAAGTGTTCTCATTCAGTGGGTCTTACTCCCAAAGAGCCCAGCAATCTAAGCACCACTGGCTTGAAATTCTCGCTGCCAGCACAACAGTCTAGTCTACCTGGGATGATCAAACTTGGTAGGGGGAGGGCCAGCCACCATTACTGAGGCTTGAGTAGGTGGTTTTTCCCTGACAGTGTTAAGGAAGCCGCTGGGAAGTTTGAACTTGGTGGAACTCACATCAGCACAGCAAAGCTGCTGTGGCCAGACTGCCTCTCTAGATTCCTCCTCTCTGAAAGAAAGGCAGCAGCCCCAGTCAGGGGCTTATAGATAAAACTCCCATCTCCCTGGGACAGAGCACCTAAGGGAAGGGGCAGCTGTGGAAACAATTTCAGCAGACTTAAATATTCCTGCCTGCTGGCTCTGAAGAGAGCAGGTCTCCCAGCACAGCACTCAAGCTTTGCTAAGGGACAGACTGCCACCTCAAGTGGGTCCCTGACCCGTGTGTCTCCTGACTGGCAGACACCTCCCAAGAATGGTCGACAGACACTTCATACAGGAGAGCTCTGGCTAGCATCAGGCAGGTGCCCTTTTGGCATGAAGCTTCCAGAGGATGAGGAGGCAGCAATCTTTGCTGTTCTGCAGCCTCCACTGGTGATACCCAGGCAAACATAGTCTGGAGTGGAGCTCCAGCAAACTCCAGCAGACCTGCGAAAGAGGGACCTGACTGTTAGAAGGAAAACTAACAAACAGAAAGCAATAACATCAACATCAACAAAAAGGACGCCACCAAAAACCCATCCAAATGTCATTAGCATCAAGGATCAAAGTTAGATGAATCCACAAAGATGAGGAAAAACCAGCGCAAAAGTGCTGAAAATTCTTAAAACCAGAAGGCCTCTTCTCGTCCAAATGATTGTAACTCCTCCCCAGCAAGGGCACAAAACTGTATGGAGAATGAGTTTGATAAATTAACAGAAGCAGGCTTCAGAAGGTAGGTAATAACAAACTCCTCTGAGCTAAAGGAGCAGTTCTAACCAAATGCAAGGAAGCTAAGAACCTTGATAAGAGGTTACGGGAACTGCTAACTAGAATAACCAGTATAGAGAAGAATATAAATGACCTGATGAAGCTGAAAAGCACAGCTTGAGAACTTCGTGAAGCATACACAAGTATCAATAGTTGAATCAATCAAGCAGAAGAAAGGATATCAGAGATGGAAGATCAACTTAAGAAAATAAAGCATGAAGACAAGATTAGAGAAAAAAGAAAAAAAGGAACAAACAAAGCCTCCAAGAAATATGGAACTATGTGAAAAGACCAAACCTCCTATTGATTGGTGTGCCTGAGAGTGATGGGGAGAGTGGAACCAAGTTGGAAAGCACACTTCAGGATATTATCCAGGAGAACTTCTCCAACCCAGCAAGACAGGCCAACATTCAAATTCAGGAAATACAGAGACCACCACTAAGATATTCCTTGAGAAGGGCAACCCCAAGACACATAATCGCCAGATTCTCCAAGATTGAAATGAAGGAAAAAATATTAAGGGCAGCCAGAGAGAAAGGTCAGGTTACCTACAAAGGGAAGCCCATCAGACTAACAGCAGATCTCTCTGCAGAAACCCTACAAGCCAGAAGAGAGTGGGGACCAATATTCAACTTTTTTTTTTTGTTTTCTTTTGAGACGGAGTCTTGCTCTGTTGCCCAGGCTGGAGGGCAGTGGCACAATCTCAGCTCACTGAAAGCTCTGCTTCCACCATGCCCAGCTAATTTTGTTTTTCATTTTTTTAGTAGAGACAGGGTTTCACCGTGTTAGCCAGGATGATCTCGATTTTCTGACCTCGTGATCTGCTGCCTTTGTCTCCCAAAGTGCTGGGATTACAGGTGTGAGCCACAGTGCCTGGCCTCAACATTCTTAAAAAAATTTTCAACCCAGAATTTCATATCCAGCCAAACTAAGCTTCAAAAGTGAAGAAGACATAAAATCCTATACAGAAAAGCAAATGCTGAGGGATTTTGTCACCATAAGTCTTGCCTTACAAGAGCTCCTGAAGGAAGTACTAAATATGGAAAAGAAAACCAGTACAAGCCACTGCAAAAACATACCAAAATATAAAGACCAATCACACTATGAAGAAACCACATCAACTAATGTGCAAAATAACCAACTGGCATCATGATGACAGGATCAAATTCACACATAACAGTATTATGTGTAAATGCAAATGGGCTAAATGCCCCAATTAAAAGACACAGACTGACAAATTGGATAAAGAATCAAGACCCATCGGTGTGCTGTATTCAGGAGACCCATCTCATGTGCAAAGACACACATAGGCTCAAAATAAAGGGAGGAATATTAACCAAGCAAATGGAAAGGAAAAAAAGCAGGGGTTGCAATCCTAGTCTCTGATAAAGCAGACTTTAAATGAACAAAGATCAAAAAAGACAAAGAAGGGCATTATATAATGGCAAAGGGATCAATGCAACAAGAAGAGTGATCTTAAATATATATAACCCATACGGGAGCACCCAGATTCGTGAAACAAGTTCTTGGAGACCTACAGAGAGACTTAGACTCCCACACAACAATAGTGGGAGATTTTAAGACCCCACTGTCAATATTAGATGGATCAATGAGACAGAAAATTAACAAGGATATTCAGGATTTGAGCTGAGCTCTGGACCAAGCAGACCTAATAGACATCTACAGAAGTCTCCACCCCAAAACAACAGAACATACATCCTTCTCAGCATGACATAGCAATTATTCTAAAATCAACCACATAATTGGAACTAAAACACTCCTCAACAAATGCAAAAGAATGGAAATCATAACAAACAGTCTCTGAAACCAGAGTGCAATCAAATTAGAACTTAGGATCAAGAAACTCACTCAAAACTGCATGACTCATGGAAACTGAACAATCTGCTCCTGAATGACTACTGGGAAAATAATGAAATTGAGTCAGAAATAAGTAAATTGTTTGAAGCCAATGAGAAAAAAGTGACAACATACCAGAATCTCTGGGACTGCTAAAGCAGTGTTTAGAGGGAAATTCATAGCACTCGATGCCCACATCAGAAAGATGGGAAAGATCTAAAATCCACACCCTAACATCACAATTAAAAGAACTGATAGCAAGAGCAAACAAATTCAAATGCTAACAGAAGACAAAATATAACTAAGATCAGAGCAGAACTGAAGGAGATAGATACATGAAAAACCCTTCAAAAGATTAACAATCCAGAAGCTGGTTTTTTGAAAAGATTAACAAAATAGATAGACCACTAGTCAGACTAATAAAGAAGGAAAGAACAGAGAATCAAATAGAACCATTTAAAATGATAAAGGAGATATCACCACTGATCCCACAGAAATAAAAACTACCATCAGGGAATAATATAAACACCTCTACTCAAATAAATGAAAAATTAAGAAGAAATGGATAAATTCCTGGACACATACTCCCCATCCAAGACTAAACCAGGAAGAAGTTGCATCCCTGAATAGACCAATAACAAGTTCTGAAATTGAGGCAGTAATTAATAGCCTACCAAACAAAAAAAGTCCAGGATCAGACAGATTCACAGCTGAATTCTACCAGAAGTTACAAAGAGTAGCTGGTACCATTTCTTCTGAAACTATTCCAAACAATAGAGAAAGAGGGACTCTTTCCTAATTCATTTTATGAAGCAAGCATCATCCTGATACCAAAACCTGGCAGAGACACAACAAAAACAGAAAATTTCAGGCCAATATCCCTGATGAACATTGACGCAAAAATCCTCAACAAAATACTGGCAAACCAAATTGAGCAGCATATCGAAAAGCTTATCCAACATGATCAAGTCGACTTCATCCCTGGGATGCAAGGCTGGTTCAACATATGAAAATGAATAAACATAATGTATCACATAAACAGAACCAATGACAAAAACCACATGATTATCTCATTAGATGCAGAAAAGGCCTTTGAAGAAATTCAATGCCCTTCATGCTAAAAACTCTCAATAAACTAGGTATTGATGGAACATATCTCAAAATAATAAGAGCTATTTATGACAAACCCACAGCCAATATCATACTGAATGAGCAAAAGCTGGAAGCATTCCCTTTGAAAACCGGCACAAGACAGGGGTGCCCTCTCTCACCACTACTATTCAACATAGTATTGGAAGTTCTAGCCAGGGAAATCAGGCAAGAGAAAGAAATAAAGGGTATTCAAATAGAAAGGGAGGAAGCCAAATTGTCTCTGTTTGCAGATGACATGATTATATATTTAGAAAGCCCCATCGTCTCAACCCCAAATCTTCTTAAACTGACAAGCAACTTCAGCAGTCTAAGGATTTGAAATCAGTGTGCAAAAATCACAAACATTCCTATACACCAATAATAGACAAATAGCCAAATCATGAGTGAACTCCCATTCACAATTGCTACAAAGAGAATAAAATACCTAGGAATACAACTTACAAGGGATGTGAAGAACCTCTTCAAGGAGAACTACAAACCACTGCTCAAGGAAATAAGAGAGGACACAAACAAATGAAAAATATTCCATGCTTATGAACAGGAAGAATCAATATTGTGAAAATTGCTATAAGCAATTTATAGATTCAATGCTATTCCCATCAAGCTACCATTGATTTTCTTCACAGACATAGAAAAAACTACATTAAATTTCATATGGCATCAAAAAAGAGCCCGTATAGACAAGGCAATCCTAAGCAAAAAGAACAAAGCTGGAGGCATCATGCTACCTGGATTCAAACTATACTACAAGGCTACAGTAACCAAAACAGCAGGGTACTGGTACCAAAACATATATGTATAGACCAAGGGAACAGAACAGAGGCCTCAGAAATAACACCACACATCTACAACCATCTTATCTTTGGCAAACCTTACAAAAACAAGCAATGGGGAAAGTATTCCCTATTTAATAAATCGTACTGGGAAAACTGGCTAGTCATATGCAGAAAACTGAAACTGGACCCCTTCCTTACCCTTTATACAGAAATTAATTCAAGATGGATTAATTGGTTTAAATGTAAGACCTACAATTATAAAACCCTAGAACTAAACCTAGGCAGTACCATTCAGGACATAGGCATAGGAAAAGACTTCATGACTAAAACATCAAAAACAATTGCAATAAAAGCCAAAATTGACAAATGGGATCTAATTAAACTAAAGAGCTTGTGCACAGGAAAAAAAACTATCATCAGAGTGAACAGGCAATCTACAATAGTGGGAGAAAATATTTGCGATCTATCCATCTGACAAAGGGCTAATGTCCAGAATTTACAAGGAACTTAAACAAATTTACAAGACAAAAGCAAACAACCCCATCAAAAAGTGAGCAAAGGATATGAACAGACACTTCTCAAAAGAAGACATTTGTGTGGCTAACAAATATGTGAAAAAAAGCTTATCATCAGTGGTGATTAGAGAAATGCAAATCAAAACCACAATGAGATACCATCTCACACCAGCTAGGATGGCCAGGAAACAACAGATGCTGGAGAGGATGTGGAGAAATAGGAATGCTTTTACACTGTTAGTGGAAATGTAAATTAGTTCAAGCATTGTGGAAGACAATGTGGTGACTCCTCACGGATTTAGAACCAGAAATACCATTTGTCACGGCAATCTCATTCCTGGGCATATACCCAAAGGATTATAAATCATTCTACTATAAAGACACATGCACACATATGATTTTTGCAGCACTATTTATGATAGCAAAGACTTGGAAGCAACCGAATGTCCATCAATGGTAGACTGGATAAAGAAAATGTGGCACATATACACTATGGAATACTATGCAGCCATAAAAATTAATAAAATCATGCCCTTTGCACAGATTTGGATGAAGCTGGAAACATCATTCTCAGCAAACTAACAGAGGAACAGAAAAACAAACACTGTATGTTCTCACTCATAAGTGGGAGTTGATCAATGAGAACACATGGACACAGGGAGGGAAACATCACACACTGGGACCTGTCAGGGGGTGGGGGACAAGAGGAGGGATAGCATTAGGGCAGTAGGACAAATACCTAATGCATGTGGGGCTTAAAACTTAGATGACGGTTTGATGGGTGCATCAAACCACCATGGCACATGTATACCTATGTAACAAACCAGCACATTCTGCACATGCATCCCAGAACTTAAAGTATAATAAAATTTTAAAAAATTAACATGATAGAGAAAAATATATTGAACTTTTACAGAAAAAACTCACAGTAGACAATGAATACTAATATGTTTTTTTAAGTGAGAAAACATCAAAATAAATAGTCCTTTAAAACTTTAAAAATTATATTTGCCTTAATGTGATTATATGCCTGCATGTTAAACTTTCTACTCATTAATACATATTTTAATTTCACATTCAAATCAGTAAATATCAAGGCTTTAACTCCCAAAGCTTTTACTCCCCATGACTGGAACAGTCACATCTTTTTGTGTACGTTAACCACATGAAACCCTTACATTGTAAGACCTATTTGGTAAGAGCAAGAATAAGAGACAACTGTTGGCACTCATAAATGGCAAGACACCAACCATAATGGTAAAGTACCAACCATTAATTCCTAAGCATACCCAGGAAGACAAGAAGAGGAAAGTGAAAGAGTCTTCCAGCTAAGTAAACATTCTTTATCAAAGACCTAGCCAATGACTTTGTAAGATATGTTTGACCACTTACATTTTCCAAGGGAAGCAAATGTAAATAGCTGAATATATTCCTGTGTCTGCTCATAAACTGATACAAAAAGAAAGACTGAATTTTCAATAGATAACTAACAGTTTTTACCACATTTCCCACAGAAAGTTCCAAAAGCCCATGAATAAAATTTAATTAAAAACTTTGGGAAGTAACATTCCAATTAATTAATATATTTTAAAATTTCTATTTCAACTCACTCATGCTAATTTTTGCAATTTTTATTGAAAGCAAAAGTTGAGATTTTAATAATACATAATTTATTATTCTATATATGTGATACTAAGAAATGTGCATTTCAATTCAAATCAGAATAATAGGCCCTTGAATAATGAATATGACCAATTTGAAATGACCTTTTATAAAATGATTTTATGTAATCAATAGTAATTTTAGGAAAATAATTGCATTTCTACCCCTTCCAAGGAAATGTTATATTTAGCTTTTAATATTTGGGTTCATGTTGTTGCCAAGAAAGTGATATGAAAACAATTTTTTTTGTATAAAATAGAGTGTAATTATACAAATTGCTATAATGGTATTTATTTTCTTATTTTTATGTTTTATGTCTAAAATTGGTGAACTAGGCCAAAGATCTATATGGTTAAATCACATATATTTGGTACAGTTGTGCTAATTTAGATGTGTTTTTCATAAAACTTATTAATAAAAACTTTCATTATCATAAAGCCTTTATTTTCTATCCTTTCTGATTCTATTAAAACTTTCTCATTTTAAACAATAACTTTCCCTTTTAAAACATTAAAAAAATCAAGCCAGTACTTTCAACATGTCTAACATCTCTAGCAGACAATGATATACACAAAGTATATCACAATGTATATACACAATGTATACACAAAGTATATACACAATGATATACAACCATGGCTAACCACCTTACTCCCCTGGTCATTGGCTTGCCCCATCCAAGACCCAGCCATGTTTCCTATGACCACAACATTGCTAGAAAACAAGGGATCTGAATGTTTGGGAAAGCAGGAACTGATAAAGAAAGAAATAAGTGATAAAAGAAGACTAGTAGTAGAGTTAAAGGGAAAAAAGAAAAAAATATATAAAAGTTTCAAGTAAAATATACTGATTTCATCTCCATCTCAATTCTAATTAATCTATGAAATTAAGTTTTTATGATATCCTTAAGATAAAGGAACTTGGTAATGAGCCACAATTTAACTTTCATTGTTGGAAAATAAAATCCAAAATAATAAAACAATGTCAGAATCCTTTTTATAAATTTTAATAATAATATCACAGCCATTGCAAAAGTAAGTCAAGTACTTGTGAGGCCACAGCTGAAAATAGAAAATTAACAGTGCAGCCTGAAATGCAGCCGTAGGTAGTTTGCTTAATACATAAAGAGGCAAAGGAAGAAAACAAGCAACTAAATGACTAAGTGGCTGAATATTCATTCACTTGGCTCAGTCCCTCCCTAAGGTATATTTTTGAAGTCAACATTAATTCTCAATAACATTTACAGAGCACCTACTTGAAGGCATTGATTGGTTTCTGCACCTGCTGAGTTAATGTCAACATGTCCATTTTGCTGTCCCTTTGCTATAGCAACAAAGTATTCTACTATCTTGATAACTGGTTAGTCACATCCCCAAATCTACAGATCTACCTTTATTTTTTTTTTCTTTCGCTTTTTCTCCATTCTCAGTCACGACTATTGTCATTTGATTTTAACTTCAGCACATAATTTCAAACGTATTCTCATGACTGCCTTTTCAGTAAAGATGTAATGTGTAAAAAGTCTGCTGCTTAAAAATAAGTCACTTACAGAAAACTAAACTGAAAAGTTCATGGAGAATCTATGATTATAAAAGCCCAGAAATTTATCATACTGTAGTCCTGTCTCTTTTTGCTCTACATTTTGAATAAAATTTTTCATCATGGTTTTTGATTATGCATTCAATTGTAATTCTGCCTGAACACAGACCCTTTCATTGCACACTGCAGATCACTCAGCGAGGAATATAGAAAGAACACACACATGAAAATTTTCAATACAATATAAAGAGCAAATGTATAAAAATCTAAAAGGAAAAAATATTTCTTAAGAAAAATCACAGATTTAAGGAGTGTTTTACTTGTAAATTTAACCAGAGAACAAAAATTTATACTGATTTAGTGCTATTTGCTATTTTATGTGATGTATGTATAGCTGACCAGATTTAGATATTCAATTGCAGATTCAGATATTCAGTGTCATTCCATTAGGAGGTTATGATAACTTTTTATTATATAGCCTTCAACCTACTCTATAAAGCCGTCATTTTTTGCTTCCTTTTTCTTAGATTCTTAGGTTTATTCTTGGCTGGAAGAGGAATAATTGCATTGGCATTTACAATTATTAAGATATAATCATGTTAAAATAAAGTTAGGTTGTATTCTGTCATTCAGTGTATCTGGCTTTAGGGAAATTATGATTTAAAAAAAACAATAGAAAGTGAAAGGAGCTTGCATTCACTCTTCTGTTTCATATGAAACACTGGTTTCTCTATTAACATAGCCAGTAGCTACTGCTCCCAGCAGCCAGGAGAGGCCCAAAGGGAAGACCACAAGCAGGTGATCTACTTGACTTGAGTTCCTTCAGGGTGGGTCCTCTTGGCCAAGAGTCAGATTACAAGCATGGCTTCAATACACAACCACAATGTGAAAGTTTAAAAGCTTTTTTTTTTTTTTTTAACTTACAGATTCTCAAGCTAAGCAGAACGACCCGATGTGTCAAACAATTCTTTATCCTCAGTCCTCTGTAGCAACAGCAACTGTATACACAAAAGAGGGCTTCTTCTATTAAAGGGTCATCTGAATTTGGGTGTCCTAATTTCAAGGAGTAACTTTCTACTGATATTTCAAACAACTCTGGCAGCAATGACAATTGAGCAGTTTGTCACCAAGCTGAGGTTAAGCAGCGCTCCATAGAGGGACTTCACATCTATCTTGGTCAGCCTTGGCCAGACCTATGTCACAATCGACTGTGGTTTCCCCATTACTCCTAAAGCACTTACATACAGGCATTTTAGAAGAAGCAATCTCTTTCAAAGAAAATAAGTGATACAGCAAAATAACCTAAGACATTTTAGGTAATGCTTGTGCTCAGTTGTTCAGATTGCTACATTGATAAGCTATCTGTGATTTTAAATGAAATTGCTACTCTATGAGAACCATATGGAAAAAACTTCTACCTAGAGAAAAGGAAAGAAACCATTACTTCTGAGATTTTTGAAGTAAGTCATATCTTATTTTGAGTGCACAAAGAGATAATTTTAACTACATCACTATATTAATCTATATCATTAATGCAAAGATATGCATAGGTTTATCATAACTGAATTATTGGATAAATAAATGTATCACTTAATGTTTATTACATACAGAAATTACACTGAAGACAGTACAAAGCTTCTATTTAAATGTTCTTTCTTTGCCAAAGCACAGTTTAAAGTAACCATTAATTTAATAAGTCAAAGTATTTACATGCCTGATGAAGCCCCTGGCCTTCATTCAATATTCTCACCAACACAGATATTATGGCAGTGGTTCTCGACATTGAACATTAGAATCACCTGGGAAACTCTCAAAGATTCTGATGTCAACTGAATCTCTGTCTCTGGGGGGAATTACCCATGGGGCAGTATTTGTAAAGACTCCCAGGTGATTATAGTGTTACTCCAGGGTAGAGAACCACTGTACTATAAAATGTCCTAACTGTGTTATAACCAAGGTTTCTCTGTTCTATCTCTATTTGACATAGGCAAATTCATCTGCCAAGTAAATCATCAAAGAATTCTAAAATTAGTAGGTATTGCAACATGTATGAAATTTTTGTTCTCATGCTACTCCAATTCACTGCTTCTGTGATGATTTCACAGACGACTCCAACTTTCAGTGGCTTTTTCACTGGTCTGACCTTAAAGAAATTTATTTTCAACAAATATTCAATAAAATTTATGAGAGTAAATTACGTATCAAGTACAGTGTTATATTTTCCATACTCTAATTTTTTTCTGTACCCTAATTTATGCCCTTTAAATTAAATATCTTACATTTACAATAAGATGACAGTTGCTTTTAAAGCATGGACTAGAATTACTTATCTCTGTAAGGTAGCATAGTCTTGTAGATGTATAGACTTCCATGTGGAACAATACGAAATATAAAGCCAGATGTAGCTGAGTCTGCATCCAAGTTTTGCTACTGTGTAGTCTCAAATAAGTTAATTTCGATGAAACAGAGTTTTCTTGGCTATGAAATATAGGCAATAAGTGACCTCACTGGAAAACTGTGCAGATTAAATAAGATTTAACATGTGAAGTGCCCACTATAGACCTTGGCATAAAAAAAAAGCTTTTGCACATTCCTTCATTGATATAACAAATGTTTAAGTGCCTAGTCTCCAACAGTCACTTTTGTAGATACTAAGAACACCAAGGTGAACCCAAAACATACTAAGTCTCAGTTCTCATAGTGCTTGTATTAGGGTTCTCCACAAAGACAGAATCAATAGGATATAGACGTTGATTAGATAGATAGATAAACGATAGATAGATAGATAGATAGTAGATAGATAGATAGATAGATAGATAGATAGATAGATAGAGATAGATGATAGATAGATAGATAGATAGATAGATAGATAGATAGATAGATAGATGATAGATAGATAGATAGAAAATGATAGATAGAAAACATATTAGGGAAACTGACTCACACAGTTATGGAGGTTGAGAAGCTTCAGGAGAAACCATCTGCAAACTGGAGAGCCAGAGATGATTGTAGCAAGTACAGCCTAAGACCAAAATCTTCAGAATCAGTAAAGCCAATGATACAACTCTCAGCTGGAGGTCATAAACCTGGAAACCCTGGATTCTCAGGGGTAAGTCCTGAGTCCACTAGTGCAAATCCCACAGTTCGAAGCTTAGAGAATCTGGTATTCGGGAGATCCTGCTATTCTGATGTCCAAGGGCAAGAGAAGAAGTGTGTCCGAGCTCTGAGGGTGTGCCAGCTCCCTCTCAGAGTGAGAGAGTAAGTTTACTTACTCTTTTGTTTTATTGAGGCTCTCAGCCTATTGGATTATGCCTGTCCACACTGAGGGTAAATCTTTACTCATTCTACTGATTCAAATACCAATCGCTTCCCTAAACACCCTCACAGACACAACTACAAATAATGCTTTACCAACTATCTAGGTAATCTTTACAGTTAACTTCTAAAATTAACCATCACAGTACTTAAATTCTTATGAGGGATACTGATAATAATAAAAAAGCTACATATATATTATAAACAAATAAAGGTAGAGTAAAAGGATAGTGAAAGAAGATATTATATTAGGTAGGTTTGTTAGTGAAGGACTTTTAAAAAAAAGATAATTTAAACAAGTAAAATGAAGCAGATGCAGGATTGAAGCATGTATCTTGGAGAAGACTATATAAGGAGGAGAGAAAAGATGGCATAAAGGCCCTGCCATTTGAATAAAATTTACATTTTTGAGGAACAAAGAGTTGATCATGTCTTAGATGCATTGAATTAGACAGGGTGGTAAAAAATAAAATCAGAAAGATGGTTTGGAGCAGATTATGTGAAATTGTAATAAATATGTTTGGTAAGCAGAACAGTGGTTCCCAGTGGTCCAAATTTTAATACACACTATTTATAAATATCTTACAGTATATGGTATGGGAATTTAAAATTTTAGATGAAATTGAGGTAGTTAATTAGGTGACCTTAGAATAAAAATATTATGCTGGATTATCTGAATAGTACTAATGTAGTCACAAGGGTCTTTAAATGTATAAAGGAGAGGCAGAATAGTCAGTGTCATGGTGATGTGGCATGAAAAACAGTGACTATTGCTTTCTTTGAAGATGAAGAAAGGTTATGAAGCAAAGGGTGTGAATAGTTGGAAGGGTCAAAGAAACAGATTCTTTGCTAGAGCTTCCACAAGGAACATAGCACCAATGACATCTTTATTTTAGCCCAGTGAAACCCGTTTTTGAATTCTGATCTCCAGAGTTTAGATAATAAATTTGTGTTGTTTTAAGTCACTAAGTGTATGGTAATTGGCTTTAGCAGCAATATGAAACTAATTCAATATGCTAAAGATGCCTTTGGTGAGTCCAGAAAAGAGAATGGCCTCATATGATTTGTTTTAAGAAAGCCATTTAGCTGCTATGTGGAGAATACATTGTAGAAAACAAGGATGGAAGCAGAAAAACCACTTGGATAAGTATTTCAGTAGCTTAGTAACAAGTAGTGAGAGATGGTGATGATTTGAAATAGAATGGAATAGGCTAAAGTAAGAAGGAGTAAGATTTAGGATATATCTTAACAACAAAAGACAGCATTTGCTTTAATGCAAGGTGTGATAGCAATGAGGAGTCTGAAACATATACAAAATGCTTGCTTTGATCAGTAGGATAAATTGTGGATCTATTTACTGAGATGAATTGTGACCTTAGTTTGGTACATATAACACCTAATATCTTAACAACATAGCAAGCACTCAATAAATATCTGGTGAAAACAATAAGATAAGAGTATTGATAAAAAAGATAAAGACAATGATAACATCAATAATAATGATGCAAAGTAATGATGCTGATGATTGAAAAAGTAGAGGAAATATAAAACATTAATGGACCTCTATTAAATACCACAGATAAATGTATTAAGTACCACTGTTTGATTCTTAGCTCCTAAAAATCTGTGTTACAGTTCTAGTAAGTTTTAGTCCATTTCCTACTGCTATAACCAAATGCCACAGACTGAGTAATTTATAGAACATAGAAATTTATTCAAATCACAGTTCTGGAGGCCAGAAGTTCAAGTGCAGGGCACAGACATCTGACAAGGCTTTCCTGCTAGATTATATCCCAAAGCAGGAAAGTGTAAGAATAAGCAATATGCTAGACAGAGCTAACCCACTCCTGGGATAATGGCAATAATCCATTGTGCTCACAATCTAGTCATCTCGTAAAGATCCTGCCTCTCAACACTGTTAACAATGACAATTAAATTTCAACTTTAGTTTTGGAGGAGATGTAAAAATAATAGCATGAGTCATTTTCAATGAGACAAAAACAGATTGTATCATTGGATACCCATGTAGATTTTATTGATGGCTAGGATTTTCTCTCAACTTATCATTTTTAAGTGTAATTTTCATGTCTCATTTAATTGAAAATTAATTTCTGCCATCTTACATAAATCTATTATGCCTCCATAATACATATAAATACTCTAAGAAGGTCTGTACATATAAACTTTGTTAACGTTAAGCACAGGATCAGTTAGAGCAGAAACTTTATTTAGCTAACTGCTGTGTTTCTACCACCAAAAAAGGCAAAACGTATATAAAGTTCTCAATAAAATGTTGTTGATAAAATAAATAAATATCTTGTCTAATCTTTGCGCCTTCAGATTGCCTAAAGGATGCAAATATGAGAGTGATTCAAGTCACCAATACGTTGAATAAATTAAGTTTGATTTACATTCTACATGAGTAACACCAGACATACTTATGAGAAAAACATAGATCAAATTCTAGGCTTAAAGTTCAGAATTTATGAAGAAGGAAATTGCTTGGATGTGGAATATTGTATTCATTTTAGGCATACATTGCAAAGATAATATATGACTCAGCTTTAATATTGAATTGATAAACACACTTGTAATTTTATTTCTAATCTCACAATAAAAAATACCTTGTGAAACAAACACTTCTTACTTTTGCTTGAAGAACTACAGAAAATAAATTAGATATTTAAGTACACAGAACACAGTTAATATTCTGTTAGTGAAACTTCAAATGTATAGTTGTTCTTTATCTTTAGTGTTTTCCATTTCCACATTCATAACATAAGGTACAGCCCAAGCCAAAACCACTAAACATTTTTAAATATTTTTTAACATAATATTTTGAATATTTTAAAAAAATTTCTATTAATAATAACATGTTGAAAATAAGATTGGGAAGAATTATGTTAATACTGATTCTAATTCTGAATCATAGTTAAATTTAAATGGCTAATTTTAATAATTTTAATAACTGATTTACAATTATTTAAAGGTCACTTATTAATGGCAATATTTATTTATTATACATCTATTAGTGAAATTAAAAAATGTAAAACCAATATGAAATTGTGTGTGATTGAAATTGTAACATAATTGATTTACATAGCAAGTAAAAAAAGCAAAACTGTTCCATCTTTTAAGCATGTTGTGCATATCTATTACTGAATAGTTTATCCTGTTAAGCTCTAGTCAGAATTTCTAAAATTACTAAAATAATAATATTAAATTCAAAACATAAATAGCATATTAGTTTGAAAATTTTACCGAAGGCGCATGTAGAAAGCAAAACTTCTTTTGGAATTGAGAGGATAAATTATCACACGTGATTGAATCTGCTCTTCATGTACACATATAAGGATATGACAAATTGTCTTGAGCACTGCAGAAATGGTACAGTATAAGGTGATGATAATACAGAAGCTAAAGAATGCCCATTTTTTACTGATAATATAGGACTAAATGTTGTTCATTACTGAACTTTGACATTATACTTTTTCTAATGACACACTCATCAAATATGGGATAAAAATAAAGGTATAATATGAACAGTGTAATAATGTTCAGAAGCACTCTTTAGAAACTTACTATCTTTAGTGTAGTTTTCTGTCTAGAATGCCATAACAAAATACCACAGACTTTATAGCTTAAATAATATAAATTTATTTTCTCATATACCTGAAGGCTAGAATGTTCATGATCAAAATTCTAGCAGAGTTCATTCTGTGGTAAAAGTTCTCTTCCTGGTTTACAGATGACCATTTTCTCACTGTGTCCTCTCATAGCCTTTCTTTAGAGTGTGAATGTGGAGAGAGAAATAATGTGAGCTCTCTGATATCTCTTTTTTAAGGACACTAATCCATTTGGATAAAGAGTCCACTTTACAAACTCACTTAACCTTAATTAGCTCCTTATAGAGCCTCTCTCCAAATATAGTCACATTGTTCATTAGGGCTTGAATATATAAATTTGGGGAGATATAATTGAGGAAATAACATTTTTCACCTCACCTCTCCATCAAATTTTGATCTATTTATATTCAAAATACCTTTGCCCTACTCCAATGTCCCCCACACCTTTAGTTCATTCAAACATCAAATTTATATTTTAAAGTTCAAGTTCTTATCTACATAAATAAATCAGATATAGGTGAGACACGAGGTACAATTCATCCTGAGGCAAATTTTTTCTCCAGCTGTGAACTTGTGAAACCAGACAAGTTATGTGCTTCCGAAATACAGTGGTGGGACACCCATAGGATAGATATTTCCATTCCAGTGAGGAAAGTAGACATAAAGAAAAAATATAATGGGTCCCAGGCAAGTCTACAACCCAGAAAAGAATATTTCATTTGATATTAAGATTAAAAAAACTCACTAAAAAATCCCGTTTGGTTTGATATTCTGTCTTCCAGTTCCATTGTGGGTGGAGATGATACTCTCAGTGAGTATGGGGAGGTCTTTTTCATTGGCAAAGAAGACTCATTAGGGCAGTGGAGCACAATGTTCCCAGCTTCATAAGATTTTTTCCACTAATTCACATACAACATTAAGGATCTCATTCCTACAAAATCCATGCCTTCACTTGAAAAGTAAATACCCTACAAGGCTTGAAGTTCAGTTTGCATTTTAATTCAGCCAATCACACCATAAGATTATGGGTTTAATTTTCAGCAACCTCAGCTCTAAGGATCCAGGAAATAAATGTCTTCTTCAAGGCATATATAGAAGCTTTCATAGCACTTATGGGATATTTTAACTGGGAATTCAAAAGCATGAGCTCACCTTTATTTTTCCCCACTTTCTTCAATTACATGATGAACAGCCAGTCAGTCTCATTATAGTCATAACTTGAATATATTGCAGGTATGATTCCAGACCACTGCAATAAAGCAAGTATCACAACAAAGTAACTTACACCATGTTTTTGGTGTCTCAGTGCATATAAAAGTTATATTTACACTATTCTATTACTTAATAAGTGTAAATAGCATTATGTCTAAAAACAAAGTGCATACCTTAAATAAAAATACTTTCTTTCTAAATAATGCTAATTATCACCTGATCTTTAGTAAGTTGTAATTTTTTGGCTGGCAGAAGCTCTTGCCTTGATAATGATGGCTGCTGACAGATCAAGTTGGTGATTGTTAAAGGCTGAGGTGGCTGTGACAACTTTTAAAAATAAAACAACAATGAAGTTTGCTATATCGATGTACTCTTCCTCTCACAAATTTTTTCTCTACAGCATGCAATACTGTTTGATAGCATTTTACCAACAATAGAACTTCTTCAAGATTGGAGTCAATCCTCTCAGACTCTGCCACTGTTTTATCCACTACATTTATGTAATATTTAGGATCCTTTGTTTTCATTTAAACAATATTCACATCTTCACCAGGAGTAGATTGCAGATTAAGAAATTGCTTTCTTTACCTACCTCTAAGAAACAACTCCTTATCTTTTAAAGTTCTGTCATGAGACTGTAGCAATTCAGTCCCATCGTCAGACTTCACTTCTAATTTTAATTCTCTTGTGATGCCATTTCCACTACATCTACAGTTATTTCTCCCTTTGAAGCCCTACCCTCTCACTCAACCATGAAGATTGTAATATAGTTCTTCCAAACTCCTATGAATGTTGATATTGTTACCTCCTCTTATGAATTATGAATTTCCTTAGTGACATCTAGAATGGTAAATACTTTCCAGAAGGTTTTCAACTTACTTTGCTCAGGTACATCAGAGAAATTACTCTCTAAGGCAGTTATAGCCTTATGAAATATGGAATATATCTCTTAAAGAATAAAACTTGAAAATCAAATTTACATCTTGATCCATGGGCTGCATAATGAATGTTGTGTCAGCAGACATGAAAACAACATTAATCTTCCTGCACATGTCCATCAGAGTTCTTGGGCGACCAAGTGCATATCCATTGAGTACTAATATTCTAAAAATATAAAAAATAATTATCTTTTCCCCGAGTACAAGGTTTCAAAAGTGAGCTTAAAGTATTTAGTAAATCATGCTGTAAACAGATGTGCTGTTAACTGGTCTTGTTGTATTTATAGAGCACAAGCAGTTTGTGTTGGATAACAGTTTATGTTGTTCAAAGAATTCATTTATTTCAGCTAAGTTGTTGAATTTATGGTCATATAGTTGTTTGTGGTACTTACTTGTTAGGCTTTTATAGTCTGTGAGATAAAGGGTAATGTCTCTCATTTTATTCCTGATATTAGTAATTTGCGTCTTGTTTTTTCATGGTCAGTTTGGCTAGAAGTTTATTAATTTTATTAATCAGTTATTGGTTTCATTAGTTTTCACCATTTTTATCTTTTCAATTTTATTGTTTTCTTCTCTAACATGTAGCATTTTCTTCCACCTTCATTTTTTTTTTGTTTAATTTTATTTTTGTTCTAGAGTCTTCTGATAGAAGTTTGAGATAGTGGCTTTAGAACTTTTCTAATATACATATTCATTACACATTTCCTTTCAGCACTGCTTTTGCTTCAACCAACGTATTTTAATATGTTGTATTTCTCTTTTCATGTAATTAAAACTACTTTTTAGTGTCTTTTGAAACATTTTGGCCCGAGGAATATATAGAAATATGTTGTTAAATTTTTAAATATTTGGGGAGTTTTTATGATATCATCTTGTAATTAATTTCTAATTTAATATTTTGATGTTTCAACAAAATACTTTGTAAAATTTCTATTACTTTCCATTTGCTAAGATATGGTCTAAAGTTTATAAATATTCTACTATGGACACTGTTTCTAATATCCATTAAATCAAATTAGAGAAAAGATTTCAGGCCATCTATATCATTCCTGATTTTCTCACTACTTATTCTCTTAACAAATGAAAGAGGAGAGTTGAAGTCTCCAAATACAGCTGTGGAATTATCTGTTTCTCCTTTTATATCCACAATTATTTGCCTGACATATTTTTCTTAAGTGAAGATGCATTTGGGATTATTTCTTCTTGGAGGACTGACTCCTTTTTCACTGTGGAATGTCTCTATTTATTCCTAAAACCATTCTTTGTTCTTGACTTGACTTAAGATAAATATATCTCTTTTAGCTTTCTTTTGCTTAATGTTTTCATGGAACATATTTTTAAACCTTCTAATTTTTACCTATGTGTTTTTACATTTAAAGACAGTTTCTTGTAGAAAAAATATAGTTGTTTTTTCTTACATGTCCAGTAAGTTCTTGGTAGGTTTAAACCATTGAATTTGAAGTAAATATCAATATTGTTGGATTAAATATACCATCTAGCTAGTTGTTTTCCATTTTGCTTTATTTTTTGTTTGTTTTTCCCTCTGTTTTTCTGCCCTCCATCAGTTTAACTGAATATATTTATGATTTTGTTTATCTCATTTCTTAATTTATTATGTGTATCTCTTTTCCTTAACATTGTGTGGTTACCCCACAGTTTTCAATGTATTGTAAAAACAATTTGAATATTGTATTACTTAATATTATAATGCTACTTGTGTAATATTAAAAGCTTTATAACACATAGTTTCAGTTAACATCGTCCATCCTTTCTGTCATTGTATTCATATATTTCACTCTTATGTAAGTCATAAACACACACTACATTGTTACAGTTATTGCTTTAAGCAATCATTTATATGTTAGATGAACTAAAAAATGTAAAAATATATTTCTTAATCTTCATTTATCCCATATGTGATACTCTTCAATAGTTTGTGCAGGTCAGTATTTCTAATGGTGTTGTTCTTTCTGTCTGAATACTTTTTTAATACTTCCTATGAATCAGGTCTTTAAAAACTCTAGTTTGAGGAATATTTTCATTAGGCATGGAAGTCTCATTTGATAGTCTTTTCACTTTTCTTTCAGCACTTTAAATGTGTCTTGGTTGGAGAGTTTGTCTTGGTTATAGACCAAAACCAAATATTTGTCTTGGTTGTAGAGTTTCTAACAAAAAGCCTATTGTAGCTATTATCTTTATTACTTTTTAGGTAACGTGTTTGTTCTCTAGCTACCTTCACTTTTTTTCTGTCATAAATTTTCTTCAACAATTTGAATGCTTTGGTTTGCCTTTTGTTTTTTGTTTTTGTTTTTGTTTTTGATTTTTTTTTCTCCTTAATATTCTCTGAACTTTCTGATTCTGTAAATTGGTGCTGGCCACTAAAAACTAGTCATTTATTATTTCTTCAAATTTTTTAATGTTCTTTCTTTACTTTCTGGGAAGAGATTTTAATTACATATGCATTAAAACTCTTGCTACGATCATATAGTTATTGCATGCTCTGTATCTTCCCTAACCCCACGATCTTCTTTCTTTTTTCTCTTTGTATTTTAATCTGAGTAATTTCTAGTGACCTATTTTCAAACTTACTGACTTTTTCCTTGTGTGTTGAGTCCACTGATAAGCTCATTAAAGGCGTTCTTCACCTCCATTACTGTAGTTTTGATTTCCAATATTTCTGCTTGACGCTTTCTACTGGTTTCCATCTGTTTCCTGAAATTAGATATCTGGTATTGTGTGCTATCTACTTTGTTTAGTGCAAACTTTACATATTAATTCTACTTAATTTAAATGTCCTGCTTGACAATTAAAATATCTGTGAAATATCTGAGCCTGGGTTTGATTATCCCTTTGTCTTTTTTAAGTGGGATTTTCTGGCTTTTTTGTATGCCTTGGAACTTCGGCTGAAAGCTAGAAATGTTGTATAAGATAAAAACTGAGATATCTATTGTTTCTGCACAGAAATGAGTATGTCATTCCTTCTAATAGGCTTTTAGTGTGAGCTTTCGTGTTTATGTGGTTACAGGTTGAGTTAGTTTTGAGCGCTGCTTTCTCATTGCCTTTGGGTCTTCAAATTAAACTCTCGGCTTTCCCTTTGTGGTTCACACCAAGCCACTGTCACTTGCAACTTTCCCAAATGTATTTTGACTGCATTATTACTTACTGTTTTTATGTTTTCAGGACTGAGCTAGGGAGGTCATTCTTTAATGTTCTGATAAATCTCAGTCTGAAGTAGGCCATGTGAACACTGGTCTTAGGGTTTGGCCTTCACAAGTATTCCTGCCATTCTCTAAAAGTAATCCTGGGCTTAGCAAGTATATCTGTCCTTTTTCCAAGTATGAGGTATTTCTCTCTTTCTTTCATTTGCTGTGCCTCTTCCTCCATCTGCAGTGGGTTTTCATGGTTTCCCCAGTACCTTCAGGTTATAGTCCAGTTGCCATTCCCCCCACAATGTGAGGCTACTGTTTCACTGAGTAGATAACAGAGAAAAGAGATTTGCTGTGGGGGCTGCTCTCCTGCTCCCCAACTCCAGTGAATACCTTACCAGTGCCCTCAGGAGGATTTTATTTTCTTGGACTTCTTTCTACAAACAAAAGTTTCTGTTTCATATGGGAGAGAATCTGGGCTGATTTTGGCAGTGCCTATTATTCCTTGACCCAGTACCATTGAGAAAATTGGGTGGGTTTTGTTTTATTTTTAAGATTCTCATCGGTATTTCCTATGATCAGCTTTGGGCTCCTGAAGAGAAAAAGGTTTTTCTCCAGATAGGGGAATGTATCCCTCCGGATTTAAAGTAATTTTTTGTCTGGTGACCTCAGGTCTCTGATGACATCATGCAAGGTTTGTATTTCTTTCTCCTTGTTGTGTGGAACAATACTCTTTCTAGCTCTCATCTGTAAGCTAAAGTCCTATGTCCTTTCTGAGGCTTTCGATTTTGTTTTGTTCAACCAATACTAACTAATTTTTTTTTAAGATTTGGAAGTCTTCTTCATATTAAGAAGAATAATTTAACAGAATATTCTCTAATTTTATAGAAATGATTGGCTAAGAATGTGGAGCTATCCACGTACAAGGAGATTCTAAGCTCAAATTCCATAATCAGAAAAACCTGATTATAATGCTTGCTTTGCCACGGCCAAGTTGTTTGACATGTAAAAAATGAGAGAACACAGGGCATATTGATGTAAATGCTAAGAAAGCTAGTGTATGTGAAGTGCTGAGCATAGGGCCTATGGTGTAGTTGATATTCAATAAACATTAGACATCATTATAATTATCAGCACAAATATAATATACATCTACAAAGATTTTCAACAAAAACATCCCCAAAATTCTAAATATTGAGTTATAAGACTAAAAATAGTCTTATACATTCTATACAAACATTGGTACTTACATTTCATATTGATGTCTGCTGAATGAGCACTGGGTGAAATTTCTACAGCAATCTAGCTGGCTATGTAGTAACTGTTTAATAAAGACAAGTGTTGTACCCTTATCCGTACACACACACTTACATTGTTCATATAGTAAATTGCCACATGAAGCACAATGAAATTACTGAAAATGCATAATTTTTTTGCTGCTGACGCAGATATTAAATTAGGAGCTCCCAGAAGAGGCATATACAGTTTACAGTGGATCTTTATTATTAGTGGGTTCTTCCTGTATAAAGTTTTTTTGTAATCCCCAAATCAATACAGTGCTTTCATGGTCATTTGCAGACATTCATGGAGTAGCAAAGTTTAAGTGAGCCTAGGACCATGTTAGCAGTTAAGTCAAACAAGGCAATTTGTCTAAGATCTCATACGGAGGTTACCAGAAGATGGAGATGGTAGGAGGCAGTGCAATGTAGTGCAAGAAGCTCCAGCTCTGAAGACAATTGGACAGGGTTTGAATCTCAACTCTGACACCTACAGTGGGGTACTTCAGACAAGCCACTTAATACTTTTGATTCTAATTTTATCTTTTATAAAGAATGCAGAATCTACCAGGATGAGTTTTTTTCCTAGAAATTAAGATTATACTTTATAGGTGATTTGTACGGGCATGTCTGTGTGTAGACACAGACATAGATATAGGTAGATAAATGTATAGCTATATAGTTTCCCTTTGGAGTAAGAGTGAAGTAATCAGTAATTCAATGTTCACAGCAACTTTATAGAACATGACTACTGCAAATAATGAGAATTGACTGTATGTCTTTGTGAAAAAAAATGTGTGGCTTAAATATGCATGTAATTAGTTGACTCATTTCTCCTGGATAAGACTTCACAGAGTCTAAAAAGGACTATACATTTAGATACACAAGCAGATATGAGCATTGAAAGGTAGAGGAGAGGATCAGTGTGAGAATTTCAGGTTATAAGAAGCCTTAGGTGAGAATTTGAGTCATTTGGATTTGATATACTAGGCAATGCAGAAGCAGCAAGAGGTTTTAACCAAGAGAACAAAATGCTAAAAGCAATGTTTGGAGAGTATTAAGTTGTCTGATAAATACAAAAAAAGAGAGATTGGAGAATAGTCTGTGGTAGACAAATATAAAAGATGAACCTGAAACTCAATTAACAGAGAAAAGTTGATAAACAAGGTGACTGATGGGAGATAAAACAGTGATAGAAGTCAAACTAACGCTAAAATTATGACCCAGAGTAAATGGAAAGAATAGTAATGATGCTGACAGAATTGTGAATTTAGAAAGCAGAGCAGACAGAGAAGACAGATGTACAATAAGACATCCGAACAGCTGGTGCTTTTCATTTTAAATGAAAGCAAAAGAAATACTATCAGGATGCACCAACACACAGCTGAATTCTAAGGCATAAAAGTGGAAAGCAGAGAAACAAGAGTGGCATACAGACCAAAATGATGCACAACCCAACAGAGATGAACTGTTCTTTTTGAGCAATGACTTAGTTAGCAGAGGTTGCTAACTCTGCCAAATTACCACTGAAAAAACTGAAATGTTCAAAAATTAATTTACACAGCCAAGAAATTTCTGAGTTCCATACGGATATAATGGGAAAGATATTTTTTTTTCTCCTGATAAAGTTACAATATGACTAGTGTTGATTCATTGTAATGAGGCATCTGGATGTCAAGCAGACTATTTCTTCTTGCCTCCTTGAGGAGGATTCTCATTCTTTCTGGAAAATGACATTAAGTGGATCTGATTAGGCTGGAGAGGCTCTTCTCCTTTTATCTAAGAAGAATAACAGTCACATACAGCATACACTGCCCATGTTCGTGAGAAATTCCTCCCCCAGTTATGTTGAATTCCTCCTTTGTCAGTGGATAAGAGTTTCCCTTCAGGCTGCCACTACAAACAGAGTGTCCAAAGCCCCTGTTTTCCATTGGTTTGTGTCAGGGAAGGGGTAATGCTTATAAATGTTTCGAGCTGTTATACGTCAGGCTGACCAGAGGTAAAAGCAAGAAGGGTGACTTTTCAGGATGCCATAACAAAATATGATAAACTATATGCCTTATAAGCAGCAGAAATTTATTTCTCATAGTTCTAGAGGCTTGGAAGTCCATGATCAAGGCCCCGGGTGAGGGCCCACTTTTTTATAGATGGTGTCGTCTCACTGTATCCTCACATGGTGGAAGGAGGAAGGGGGTCTCACTTGGATCTCTTCATAAGGACACAAATCCCATTCATGAGGGCTTTGCCAGTCATGACCAATCACCTCCCAAAGGCCTTACTGTCTAATACCATCCCTTGCGGGATAGGATTTCAGTATGTGCATTTTGGGGAAACACACATTCAGACCATAGAAAAGTGCATGCATGCTCAGTGGTAGTTTATCCTCAGAGGCCTTACTGTCTAATACCATCCCTTGCGGGATAGGATTTCAGTATGTGCCTTTTGGGGAAACACACATTCAGACCATAGAAAAGTGCATGCATGCTCAGTGGTAGTTTATCCTCAGAGTCCATTTCACCTTGCTCCAAAGCCCTATGTGATGACCTCCTCCCTTATACTAACACCTCTCTCTTCAATCAGTATATTCAATCACTTTGCTTCTCTTTTTCGTCTCCTATTTCAGGCACTTAATGGTGAAATATTGCCTTTGCCAGCTAGCTTTTCTGTTATGCTTATGTTTATGTTTTCTTTGAATATTTGTTTGTAATTTATTATGGTTGTGGAAAAGAAATATTCCTGAAAAAAAATCAAGAAACATGCAGAAGAGGGAAAACATAAACACAGAAAAAAAAAGTTGATTGCTGTTATATCAGTGTTTCCCCACCACGATTTCAGTGACTGGTTTTTGTTTCCTGTCTTTCATTGACAAATCAGTAAGCCATGGATTTTAGAATAATCATATGCAAAATATTAAAATGAAAAACTACCAAAAAATCAAGTATTATTAAATTATATAACAAATTTTACATTTTTTAATGGAATATAAAATCTTACTTGATCTTAAATATATGATCTCAAATAGACTTCAAAAGTCCACAAAAGTATACCTATAAATTAAATTACAGATATAAAATAAAGTATACATGTAAAATAAATTAAGAGTATATGTTTTATATGAATGGGAAATAATGCAACTCATGGTTATTTTTTCGACATTTAGCTAACATTTATTAATTACCTAATACGTGCCGGGCACAATGGAGGAATTCAGATTTAAATTAGACCTATTTCTTGTCTACATTGTGCTTACATTCAGGTGAATAGCTGGTTATGTTTTCCCCCAGCTTTATTGATATGTAATTTACGTTAAGATATTCACCAATTTAAATGCACAATTTGATAAACTTGTACAATAATGTAGCTACCATCACAATGAAGATATAGAACCTTTCCATCAATTTTTAGAAATACAATCATATGCTTTTAGAGAGGAGCCCGGCCCTTGACTTCTGAATCTGGCAACTACAATCTACTTTCTATCACTGAATTTTTATTTTTCTAGATTTTCATATGCATCGAATGATATTATATGTAGTATTTTGTGTTCCACTTAACATAATATTTTAATTATATTAATATTTAACATTATAAAGTGTTAAAATATAATATTAAAAAATATGGGTTCCACTTACAATAATATGCTGTTAAATTTCTAAGCACTAGTAGTACTTTAGCAATAAACTACAAAGTAGAATATTAATAAAAACAAAACATATAATCAAATTTATTTTATCTATAATTATTTATCTATACTCTGTTTATAATTGCTAAGCACTAGTATAGTGCTTGGCAATTTAACAAAGCAGAAAAACATAGTATAGATATAATACCATTTTTCCATTCGTCAATTTATGGACGTTTGAGTTTTCTCAAATTTGGGCTATTAAGAAAAATACTATGATACATATTCTTTTTTACAGATTTTTCTCTGGAAACAGATCTTTATTTCTCTTGGATCAACTCTGAGATTTCTAGGCCATATGATAAGCATATATTTAACTTCATAACAGCAGCCCACAACCTTTTTGGCATGAGGGACCAGGTTTTCTGTTTGTTTGTTTTGTGAGTATTTTTTGTTTTTTTGTTTTTTTGAGACAGAGTCTTCCTCTGTCATCCAGGCTAGAGTGCAGTGGCCCGATCTTGGCTCCCTGCAACCTCTGCCTCCCGGGTTCAAGCGATTCTCCTGCCTCAGCCTCCCAAGTAGCTGGGATTACAGGTGCCTGCCACTGCACCTGGCTAATTTTTGTGTTTTTAGTAGAGATGGGGTTTCACCATCTTGGTCAGGCTGGTCTTGAACTCCTGACCTCGTGATCCACCCACCTCAGCCTCTAAAGTGTTGGGATTACAGGTGTGAGCCACTGCACCTGACCTAGGGACCAGTTTTGTGAATTTTTTCCACAGGCATCAGATGGTTTTGAGATGGTTTAAGTGCATTACATTTATTGTGCACTTTATTTCTATTATGATCACATTGTATTTATAATAATTATACAGCACACCATAATGTAGAATCAGTGTGAGCCCTGAGTTTATTTTCTTACAACTAGTTGGTCCCATGTGGGAGTGATGGGAGACAGTTACAGATCATCAGGCATTAGATTCTCATAAGGAAAATGCAACTACATCCCTTGCATTCACACTTCACAATAGGGTTTGTGTTCCTATAAGAACCTAATGATGCAACTGATTTGACAGGGGGGCTCACTCAGGCGGTAATGTAAGTGATGGAGAGCCACTATAAATACAGATGAAGCTCTGCTGGCTCACCTGCCACTCACTTCTTGCTGGGCAGCCTGGTTCCTAACAGATTACGAACAGGTACCAGCAGTTGGGGACCTCCCGCTTTATAAGATACAGCCATACTGTTTTCCAAAGGAACTGTATATCAAACCTATTTACTTTTAGCCATTCTAGTGACAATATAGTAGAATATTATTGTGGCTTTCATTTGTATTACCTTGATGACTATCAATCTTGATTACATGATCTTTTCATGTTTTTATTGGCTATTCATGCATTTTCTTTTGTGGAAAGGCTGTTCACATATTTTGCCATTTTTTTGTAAAGTTAATGGTCTTCTTATTGAATTCTAAGTCCTCTTTTATATTCTCATATGACAACTTTGTCAGCTATATGTTTTGAAAATATTTTCTACTAGTATGAAACTTGAATTTTCAAAATCACTTTATGTAAAGAGCATAAGGTTCTGTTTTTGAGAAATTCCATTTTAAGTGTTTTGTAAATACTTTATGTTTTTATCTTTTAATAAATCTTTGCCTAATCCAACATCACCAAGATTTTCTCCTGGTTTTATCATAAATGTTGTATACTTTCAACACATTTACATTTTTGTAATTTTTAAAATTAATTTGTGTGCATGGCATGAGATAATGATAGAAGTTTACTAATTTCACATAAATATTCTATTCCTCCAGCAGAGTTTGTTGAATATATCTTTCTTTCCATTGAATTACTTTTGAGCCTTTGTCAAATATTGACTATAAAAGTGTACATCTATTTCTTGGTTTTCTGTTATGCTTCATTTTGTAATATTTCTATCTTTATACTAATGTCACACTATTGTGATAACTGAAACTTTATGGTAGAGCTGAAATGTGAGGTAATAAAAGTTTTAATGCAAATTTCTTTGCTATTTTAAGAACTCTGCTCTACCTTACAGATTTTATGATCCACATGCCTATTTCATCAAAAATGCCTGCTAAGATTTCTATTGAAATTCTTTGAGTGGTTTGTATGAAACTTCATCTGATTAATATTAGGATTTCCAACCTATGAATAATGTATATCTTTAGGTTGAATATAAATAGCATTTATAATATTTTGTAGTTTTTAATATATAAGCATTATATTTCTTTTGTTAAATCTATTCTTTTTTATGTGTTATAAAAGCAATTAGTAGAATTTTATTACATACTTCTTTGTTGCTTGTATATAGAAATAAAATTGCATATATACTTGCAAATTCACTCATTACCTCTAGAATTTTTTTAGACTCTAGAAATCTACATAATTATTTCATCTGCAAAAAAAAGTTTTACTTTTTTATTTCAAATTGGTGTGTCTTTATCTCTATTTTCTTATCTGTATTCATGTATTAAGACCATGAATACAATGTTGGATGGAAGTGGTAAGAATGGAAATCTTGGCCGGGCGTGGTGGCTCACGCCTGTAATCCCAACATTTTGGGAGGCCAAGATGGCCAGATCACGAGGTCGGGAGATCGAGACCATCCTGGCTAACATGGTGAAACCCCATCTCTACTAAAAATGCAAAAAATTAGCCAGGTGTGGTGGCGGGCATCTGTAGTTCCAGCTACTCAGGAGGCTGAGGCAGGAGAATGGCGTGAACCCTAGAGGTGGAGATTGCAGTGAGCCGAGATTGCTCCACTGCACTCCAGCTGGGCAACAGAGCAAGACTCTGTCTCAAAAAAAAAAAAGAGTGGAAATCTTTTCATTTATTTTACAAAGAAAGCACTAAGTGTTTCTGCATTCAGTAGTATGTTGGTTATAGTTTTATTTTTTATTTGCTTAATCAGATTGAGGATGTTGTCTCTCTTCCAATTTTTTAGAGGTTCTGTTTATTTTTTTCATTATATTAAAATGAAGCCCATATAACATGAAAGTAATCATTTTTAAATGTATACTACCTTTACAATGTTGTACAACCATCACCTCTACCAAGTTCCAAAGCATTTTCATCATCACAAAAGAAAACTCCCTATCTATTAAGCTGGCATATCCTATTCTCAATCTTATTTTTGTTCTGATATTACTATAGCCATACCAACTGCCTCTGGATTAGCATTTGCATGTTATATTATTTTTAATCCTTTTATTTTCAAACTTTAGGTCCTTGGTATAAAGTGAGCTCTTATAGACAGCATAGTTGATGGTGTTTTTTGACAAATTATTCCAATGTATGTTTTTAAATTGGAGAGTAAATCTACTTAAATGTAAATGGAGTTATTTACATTTAAAATAACTAATGTTATCAGAATAGCAAAATATCATATTGCTACAATATGCTACAAAATATTTGCTTTCTGTATCACATATCTTTTTTGTTCCTTCCCTTCTGTCATGACTACCTTCTTTTGTGTTTAAGTGATTTTTTATGGTTTATCAGTTTAATTCCTTTTTCATTTTTTTCTGGATTTTGTTATTTTCTTAGCAGTTACCCTGAACTAATAGCATCTCAGTTTTACCGTATAAATTCTGCTCTTATACAGCTCTATCCCTCCCTTTTAAGTTGCTATTGTCACAGATTACATCTTTATAAATTGTGTGCACATTCACATAATTATCACTATTTTTTATCCATTGATTTTTAAAATCATATAAGAAAACACTGGAGGTATAAACTAAAATTCATTAATACTTTTATATTAACCTAGGTACTATAGTTTCTTTCAGCACTACAAAACTGTCATTGCATTCATTTCTGGCTTCCATAGATTTATATCCGAAATAGGCTGTTAATCTTGAAGATTCTTGTACAGTAGTCTCTCCTTATCCAGAGATACCTGTATCATATTTTTGACATGATAACTGAGATGGCTAGTAAGCAACTAAAGGGTAGGAAGTGTATACTATGCTGGGAAAAGGGATTATTCACATCCTGTGCTAAACAGAGCAGGGCAATGTGAGATTTTATCATGGCACTCAGAATATTACATAATTTAAAACTTATAAATTGTTTCTAGAATTTTCCAATCAATATATTTGACCCATGAGTAACACTTGGTAACTAAAATTGCAGTAAGCAAAACCACAGGTAAAAGGAAACTACTTTGCCTTAGAAGTCACTTCTTTCTTGCTGCTTTCTGGATTCCCTATTTGTCCTTAAATTTTGATAGTTTGATTATAATCTACCAGATTCCTTCATGTTTATCCTAGTTGGAGTTTGCTGAACTCCATAGATGTGTGCATTCATGTATCAAATTTGAAAGACAATTCAGCCATTATTTCTTAACACATCTTATGTTCATTTCTTTCTATACCATCCTACCAGAACTCACATTATGTACATTAGCTCATTCAATGGCATCCCACTGGTTCCTTAGGCTTTGATCATTTTACTTGTTCACTTTACTTTCTGCTCCTAAGACTGGATAACTTCCATTAACCAATATTCAGTTCACTAAGGCTTTCTTCTCCAGTTCAAATGTGTTGAAACTCTCTAGTCAATTTTTTGTTTCAGTTATTGTAATTTTTAGCTTGAGAATTTTTATTTAATTTTATTTTCTGTGCTTCAAGAGACAGTTTTGGTTATCTTGCAAATAGGTCATATGTACTTTTTTTTCATGCTTTGTAATCTCTTGTTAAAACATAAACATTTTGAATAATATGATGTGATAACTCTGGAAATAAGATTTTTTCCTTCTTAAGGTTTATCTTTGTTGTTTGCTATATGTTGCAGTTGTTTGCTCAGTGACTTTTTGTGATGTCTGAAATTTGTTCCTAAAGTTTGTGGTCACCTACTGTTTTGTGTTTTGACTGCAATTTTCTTTTTGAATACTTGTAGAAGAAAAAACAAGAGAAAGGAAAACGACTCTTCTTGTATTTGCAGATTAGCTAGGTATCAGGCACTTCTTCATTATTTAGCCAGCCAGGCAATCTTGCCTCTGCTTTCACTTTCTGCCTGCAAAGAGCCTAAAAAGCAGAGTTAGAAGCTTAGATTCTATCATATCATTTTTTGAGCATACATCATACCCTGGGCATTCATGTAGCTTTTTAAAATACCCAGCTTTCACGGTATTTTTCAATGCTCTAATTCTGTCAAGAATTTTCTCCCAGGATTTCTGTGTGTTTATTGTTTGTCTCAATTGCAATCTTTTGTTTCTAGAGGCAGTGGTTTGGCCATTTGCCTTTCAATATTTATGAAGTATGCCACTTTTCCACCACGAGAGATTTTCAAGTTAGGCAAAAGAAAGGCAAGTACCTTGCGTTAGCTTTTTAGTTAGCCTTTAGACAGGTCAAAACAAACACAGTTGTTGAGAAGAAGGTCTGCTTTGCTCATTCCAGAACCACAAATTAGGGTTCCACACAGGGAATGCAGGCTATTGTCTTTGAGAATGCTGTCCGGCCAGGCGCGGTGGCTCATGCCTGTAATCCCAACACTTTGGGAGGCCAAGGCGGGTAGATCACCTGAGGTCAAAACTTGAGATCAACCTGGCCAACATGGTGAAACCTCGTCTCTACTAAAAATACAAAAAATTAGCCAGGCGTGGTGACATGCCTGTAATACCAGCTACTTGGGAGGCTGAGGCAGGAGAATCACCTGAACCCGGGAGGCAGGGGTTGCAGTGAGCCAAGATCACGCCATCGCACTCCAGCCAGGTCAACAAGAGGGAAACTCCGTCTCAAAAAAAAAAAAAAAAAAAAGAATGCTGTCAAACCAGGGAAGGAGGTAAGGCAAGGGCAAGTAAAATGCTTCAAATTCACTTATCATTTTGCCTCTATCTTGATACTGTGTTTGATTGGTTGCCATAAACCTTTGACTATTTTCTAGAATTTTAACTAGGTGGATTTTGACAGTTTTTTTCCTCATAATTTTGCTGTTTCAGTGAAGTAAAAATCCCTTGGATATACTTATTCCATCATTTTTGCTGACATCCCTGAAAGTTTCTACAATTGTTTCAAATAATTTTTTCTACATCCGTTAAAATGATGATGTATTTTTCCACTTTATTTCATTAAAATGATAAATTACATTGATTCATTTCTAGGTGGTAATCCAGCCTCACATTGCTGGAATAAATTGAAACATATCAGGCTGGGTTTTTATACATATATTATTATTACATATTTTAATATATTATTC
The DNA here is from genome assembly GCF_000001405.40 of Homo sapiens. NCBI lineage: Eukaryota > Metazoa > Chordata > Mammalia > Primates > Hominidae > Homo > Homo sapiens. The sequence continues at coordinate 115,493,390 of NC_000004.12, read as the reverse complement.
TCATAATTTTCTAAAATTATATTAATAACTTTTTATGTCTGTGTTTTTAGGGGAAGAACTAAAATCAAGCTCCAATATTATCTGCTGTCTTAATATTTGGTAAAATTTTGAGAGCCGTGAGTGACCTAACTGAAAAGTTCCCATCCTACTGTGCTTCTGAAGATAAGTTGCTGTAGCCAAATAACATGTTCTATCAAATGAACCAGGTACAGTTCTTGATTGTCCCTAACTAGTGGGTTACAGTTTCCTGCCCAAATGTGAAATTATTCTAATAATCCAATTATATTCTCCATTAGGAGCCAAGGATACCTTCCATTACTATAATGTCTGCCTCACACAATCCTTAGTTTTTCACTGTTTCTGAGTGCAACATCTTTGTGTCCCTGCATGGCATGCAATGTCCTCCTCCTGTGGGCAGTATGTATGACCAACAAACTGCTGCTAATGTTACCTGTTCAAATATTGGGTGTTGTGTATTGGCCATTCCCACAAATCTAGGGAAGTAATCACTCCTTCACCAATGGGGTAAAAAGAGGCAATATTCCAAAAGAAAATTTGTGAATTGCTTTTCTTTAATACTTTCTCTTGTCAGTATCACAGTGACAATGGCCTCATAAGATGAGTTGGGAACCATGATTGAATTCACTTTGGGTAAGCAACAATGAATTTGTCCATTTTGTTCACATTTTTCTAATTAAATGGCATAAACTTATGAATAATCTTCATATTATGTTTTAATACTTACATAATCTATAGTGATGCTCTCCTTTCCATTTCTAATATTGTAATTTATTTATTGTTTTTGATCATTTTATCTAAAATATCAATGTATTAATCTTTTAGAAGATTATCTTTTTGATATACTTGGATTTGGTTGGCTAGTATTTTGTTGAGGATTTTTGCATCTATGTTTATCAGGGATATTGGTCTGTAGGCTTTTTGTTTGTTTGTTTGTTTGATTGATTTTTGTTATGTCCTGTCCTGGTTTTGGTATTAGGGTGATACTGGCTTCATAAAATGATAGGGAGGATACCCCCTGTATCTGTCTTTTGAAATAGTGTCAATAGAATTGGTATCAGTGCTTTCAATGTCTGATAGAATTCAACTGTGAATTTGTCTAGTCCTACACTTTTATTTGTTGGCATTTTTTTTACTACCATTTCAATCTCACTACTCATTATTGGTCTGTTCAGAGTTTTTAGTTTTTCCTGGTTTAACCTAAGAAGGTTATATATTTCCAGGAATTTATACATCTCCTGTAGGTTTTCTGGTTTGTGCACATACAGCTTTTCATAGTACCCTTGAATGATATTTTGTATTTTGGTGGTATCAGTTGTAATATCTCCCATTTCATTTCTAATTGAGCTTATTTGGATCTTCTCTCTTTTCTTGGATAATCTCACTAATGGTCAATCAATTTTACTTATCTTTTAAAAGAACCAGCTTTTTGTTTCACTTATCTTTTGTACAGTTTCTTGTTTGTTTGTTTTGTTTCAGTTTCATTTAGCTCTGCTTTAATCTTTGTTTTTTCTTCGTTGGATTTGAGTTTGGTTTGTTTTTGTTTCTCTACTTCCTTGAGGTGTGACTTTAGGTTGTCTATTTGTGCTCTTTCAGACTTTTTGATGCAGACATTCAGTGCTATGAACTTTCCTCTCAGCACTGCTTTTGCTGTATCCCAGAGGTTTTGATAGGTAGTCTCACTATTATTATTCAGTCGAAAGAATTTTTAAATTTCCATCTTGATTTCATTGTTGACCCAGTGATCATTCAGCAGCAGGTTATTTAGTTTCCAGGTATTTGCATGGATCTGAGGGATCCTTTTGGATTTGATTTCCAATTTTATCCCACTGTGGTCTGAGAGAATAATTGATGTCATTTCAATTTTCTTAAATTTTTTGAGGCTTGTTTTGTGTCCTATCATATGGTTTATCTTAAATAATGTTTCATGTGCTGATGAACAGAATGTATATTCTGCAGCTGTTGAGTCAAAGGTTCTGTAAATATCTGTTAATTTTATTTGTTCTAGGGTATAGTTTAAGTCCATTGTTTCTTTGTTGACTTTCTGTCTTGGTGACCTGTCTAATGATGTCAGTGGAGTATTAAAGTCCCCACTATTATTGTGTTGCTGTCTATCTAGTTTCTTAAGTCTAGTAGTAATAGTTTTATAAATTTGGAAGCTCCAGTGTTAGGTGTGCATAGATTTGGATTTTGATATTTTCTTGTTGACCTAGTCCTTTAATCATTTTATTATGTCCCTCTTTTTCTTTTTGAACTGCCGTTGCTTTAAAGTTTGTTTTATCTGATATAAGAATAAGTACTTCTGCTCACTTTTGGTGTCAATTTGCAGCATGGCACATCTTTTTCCACCCCTTTACCTTAAGTTTATGTGAGTTCTTGTGTACTAGGTGAGTCTCCTGAAGTCAGTAGATACTTGGTTGGTTAATTCTTACCCATTCTGTCATTCTGTATCTTTTAAGTGGAGCGTTTAGGCCATTTACATTCAAGATTAGTATTGAGAAGTGAGGTACTATTCTATTCATCATATTTATTGACCAAATATTTTCTATTATGTTTTTATTCTATACGTCCTGTGAGATTTATGCTTTAAGGAGGTTTAATTTTGACCATTTGTTTCAATATTTAGAGCTTCTTTAAGTAGTTCTTATAGTGCTGGCTTGGTAGTGGCAAATTCTCTCAGCATTCACTTGTCTGAAAAAGACTATATTTTCTTCATTTATGAAGTTTAATTTCACTGGATACAAAATTATTGGCTCATAATTGTTTTGTTTAAAAAGCCTAAAGATAGGACCCCAATCCCTTCTAGCTTGTAGTGTTTGTTCTAAGAAATCTGCTGTTAATCTGATAGGTTTTCCTTTATAGGTTACTTGATGCTTTTGTCTCACAACTCTTAATTTTTTTTCCATTGTCTTGACTTTAGATAACCTGATGACAATGTGCCTACGTGATGATCTTTTTCGATGAATTTCTCTAGTGTTCTTTGAGTTTCTTGTATACGCAGGTCTAGATCTCCAGCAAGGTCAGGGAACCTTTCCTCAATTACTTCCTCAAATATGTTTTCCAAACTTAAAGATTTCTTTTCTTCCTCAGGAACACCAGTTATTCTTAGGTTTAGTCATTTAACATAATTCCAAACTTTTTGGAGACTTCGCTCATTTTTTGGCATTCTTTTTTCTTTGTCTTTGTCAGATTGGGTTGATTCAAATGCCTTGTCATTGAACTCTAAAGTTGTTTCTTCTACTTGCTTGATTCTATTGTTGAGGCTACTCAGTGTATTTTGCATTTCTCTAAGTGTGTCCTTCATTTTCAGATGTGATTGTTTTTACTTATGCTATTGATTTCTTCGGAGATTTTTCTATCCATATACTATATCTTTTATTTCTTTAATTTGGTATTCACCTTTCTCTGGTGCCTCCTTGATTAGCTTAATAATCGGCCTTCTGAATTCTTTTTCTGGCAATTCAGAGATTTCTTCTTGGTTTAGATCCATTGCTGGAGAGCTAGTGTGATCTTCTGGGTTGTTAAAACAACTTGTTTTGTCATATGATCAAAATTATTTTTCTGGTTGCTTCTCATTTGGATAGACTGTGTCAGAGGGAAGATCTGGGGTTCAAGGGCTGCGGTTCAGATCCTTTTATCCCATGGGGTACTCCCTTGATGTTGTGCTCTCCCCCTTCCTCTAGGGATGGGGCCTCCCTGCAATTATTATTATTTCTCTTCTGGGTCTAGCCACCCAGTGGAGCTGTCAGGCTCTGGGCTGGTACTGAAGAGTGTGTGCAGAGTCCTGTGATGTGATCTGTCTTCAGGCCTCTCAGCCGTGAATACCAGCACCTGCTCCAGTGGACATAACAGGGGAGTGAATTGAACTCTTTGAGAATTCTTGGTTGTAGTTTTGTTTAGCATGCTGATTTTGTGTGGTTGGCCTACAGCCAGTAGTTGGCACTTTCAGAGAGCATCAGCTGTGGTAGTACAGGGAGAATACAAGCTTGCCTTAGGATTGCCTGGATAAGAATTTGGGTTTCTCAGGCAGTGGGCAGGGCTGCAGAGTTCCCACGAAATTATGTCCTTTGTCTTCAGCTATCAGGGTGGGTAAAAAGGCCATCCAGTGGGGCCAGGGTTATGCTAGGTGTATATAAGCTCAGACTTTTCTTGGTGGGGTTTGCTGCAGCTGCTATGGGGGATGGAGGTATCATTCTCTGGCTGAGGGGTTATGTTCCCAGGGGGTTTATGGCTGCCTCTGCTGCATTATACAGGTTGCCAGGGAAGTGGGGGAAAGCTGGCAGTGACAGACCTCACCCAGCTCCAATGCAGCCTGAAAGGCCAGCCTCAATTCCACCATACCCCACCAAGAGCACTGAGTTTATTTCTAGGCAGCCAGTGAGCAGTGCTTGGAACTTGACCCAGGTTACAAGCCTCCCCACTGAGAGAGCAAGCAGGGCTTTCAGGTTTTGCACCTTCCCACCTGCCACAGTTTTTGTGCTCATATCTGCGTTTCCCGTTTGCCACCTCCCCCAGATTCTTTCCAGGAAGCTTCTTATTTGGCCGAAATTGTTACAAAGTTCTGCTAGAAGTTTTCTTTTCCTCCCTATCATTTTTCCCCAATTCCACTGGCAGCTCTACCCAAGGACCCCTGCAAGGCAAAGTCAGGAATGACTTCCCTGGGAACCAAGAGTGCCCACAGGGCTCTTCCCATTGCTTCCTCTTTCACTATATTTCATTTGGCTCTCTAAATTTGTTTCAGCTCCAGGTAAGGTCAAGTCTACTCCTGTAATCTGGACCTTCAGGTTCCCAAGTGGGGGTATGCTTTCAAGGGCAGATGTTCCCCCCCTCACCCTTTGGGCACTCACAGTTTTTCAGCTGTCTTACAGAGCCTGCAGCAGCAAGCCACTATCATCAAAGGGTTTGTGGATTCTCTTTGCTTTCCTGATCTGTTCCTGCAGTAGTTATCGGAGCCAAAGTTCACAGTATGAGTCTCCACACAATGCTCTGTCCATCCGGATGGAAGCTGCAAGTCAGTCTTGCCTGCTAGCCACCATTTTTTTTCACCCCTTAAATTATGCTTTTGACCCATTTGATAATTTCTGTCTTTAAGTTGGAGTTCTCAGTTCATAATATTCAATAAAATTATGTTTATGCTTGGATTTGGGTGTATTTCATTATTTATTTTCCATTTTTATTGTCTGTTTTCTCTATGATTTTTCTGATTTAATTTATATTGTTTTAATACTATTTTAATTTTCTTATGTCTTTGACTATATTATACATTTCAATGCATGTGATAGAGACCACTCTATACACATAAATACATACACATACACTCTCATATGCCTGTTAAAACTTAAAGATATAAGTATATCTAACTCTTTTCACTCTAGTCCCTGTTACTGCTGTACAACTTTATGTATACTATTAAAAATTTGAAATTGTGTAGGTCAATGGACCACTGTCATTATTATATGTATTGTATCTACATCCTTTATAAACCTATATGACAATGTTATGGCTTTGTTTTAAACCATCTGATATCTAATAAAAAATTAAGAGGTATTTGTTAAAGGGTCTTTTGTATGATTAAGATGTTTACCATTTCTAGTGCTTAATCCTCCTTTCTGAGTATGTGACTATCCACCTGAAATTATTTGCCCTTATCATGAACAACTTCTTTTAGCATTTCTTGTAATATAAGAATACTGATAAGCAGTTTTCTGGCCGGGCGTGGTGGCTCATGCGTGTAATCCCAGCACTTTGGGAGGCCGAGGCGGGAGGATCACAAGGTCAGAAATTTAAGAGCAGCCTGGCCAACATGGTGAAATCCTGTCTCTGCTAAAATACAAAAATTAGCTGCGGGTGGTGGTGAGCACCTGTAATCCCAGCTACTCGGGAGGCTGAGGCAGGAGAATCGCTTGAACCCAGGAGGCCAAAGTTGCAGTAAGCTGAGGTCATGCCATTGCACTCCAGCCTGGGCAATAGAGGGAGACTCCATCTCAAAAAAAAAAAAAAAAAAGAAGTTTTCTTAATTTTTTTGGATGTAAAAATCTATCTTATTCTTCAGTGACATTTTTAATAAATACACAATTAGAGGCAAAAACTTTAAATATTTCTTTTCATAATTTCTATTAAAAAGTTAACCATTAATTGAATCATTTTCCTGAACATAATTAGCATAATTTCTCTTACTGCTCCCAAGATTCACCTTTGGTTTTGAGTAGTATGCCTTTTATGTTTAATAGTGTGACCATCTTCATGTTGGTCTTTCTTGGTGTTTATTGAGTATCTTAATCTACACATTTATGTCTTCCATCAACTTTGGCAAATTTTCTGCTATTATTTCTTAAAAATTTTTTCAGTCACATTTATTTCTCTACTTTCACACTGTGATTCTAATTAAATGATGGGTTAATCACTTTCATATTATCTAACAGTCTTCAAGTCACTGTTCAATTTCTTTTTCAATTTTTATCTCTGTTTTTCACATTACATACTTTCTATTGATCAATTATCAACTTCATTTATTTTTCTTCTGTTATGTCCATTTTACTGTTAAACTTGTTTATAATAATGTTATAATGTTTCTATATATCATATCAATTATATATGATATGATATATATCATATCATTATTCATATTATCGTAATTCTTTAATGTTTCCTTCCACTGTAGAATCACTTATTTTTTATCATTCCATTTTTTGCTTAAATTTATATTTATTTTGTTTTCTTTTTCTTTTTTTTAGCCTTTTATTTTACATTCAGGTGTACAGATTCAGTTTTGTTACATAGGTAAACTTGTGTCGTGGGGGTTTGTTGTACAGATTATTTTATCATCCCAGTATTAAGCCTAGTACCCATTCATTATGTTTCCTGATCCTCTCCTCTAATCCTGCACCCTCTGATAGGCCCCATTATGTGTTGTTCCCCTCTACTTGTCATGTGTTCTCATAATTTCACTCCCTTTTCTAAGTGAGAACATGTAGTATTTGGTTTTCTGTTCCTGTGTTAGTTAGCTAAGGATAATGGCCTCCAGCTCCATCCATGTCCTTGTGAAGGACATGATGTCATTTGACCCAGCAATCCCATTACTGGGTATATACCCAAAGGAATATAAATCATTCTATTATAAAGATACATGTGAGCATATGTTCATAGTAACACCATTCACAATAGCTTAAATTTATCTTTTCATTTCTTGCAAGCATTTTGTTTTATATTACTCAAAGTAGTATAAAAGAGCCATTTAACAATTCTTGCCTCAAGTTCCAAAAACTGAGTAATTTCAGAGTTGTAATCAGTTAATTAATTTTCTTTTATTTGAGAATGAACTTCATTTGGGGAGACTTAATGTATTAATGAATTTTGAATTGTAAGTAATAAAAGTTATATACTTTGTTGTCTTTTTCTAATGTGTTGTTTCTTTTGCTTTAGCAGGCAATTCCTTAATTTGGCTTGAACTGCAAACTGTTTCTTCAGAAATGTTTCAGTCTTACATTTGATATTTTTAACTGAGATTTTTGAGTCTGTTTAGCATATGCATCTTTCAGGTATTAGCCAAATATGGGTAGACAGAATTTGGGATCTTCTCTTGGCTTTTTTATAGATAAGGTTATCCATCCACTTATTTAACAGAAAATTTCCTTGTATTCAGGGTTCTGGCTCCTTAGGCAAGAATGACTGATTTTTATTTTCACCAAAACAACCAACAGCCCAGATGTCACACTGAAATGTGGTTGGCAACATTGTGAAAATGAGCACTCATTGCACACAACTCTGTTTCTCCACACATATATACTCAACAAGAATTTGCCTACTTTGTTTCACTCTCTATTTCCACCAGATAATTTTAAATAATGTCTAGAATTTATAGTTGTTTTCTGCAGAGAAATTAGTCGTACATGAACTTATTGAGTCATTACTAGAAATGTACTTTTTTCCTGTTGAAATATATACGAATTTTACTTTTTTGTCAACCAGATTGACTTCAACATAGTAATAAGAGACTTTATTAATCTTCTGAGAAAACTAAGTGCTTTATTTATTCAAGAAGAAAATATTAATAATGAAAGTAAACTCTTCCTAGAATGAGGGTATGTGCTATTTAATTTCACATCATCTGCATTTAGTACAGTGCTCGATAAATTAAATTTACTTGTATAGGCATTAATTAATAAACAAAAATTAATAAATCATTTTTCAGTTAATCACTTTAATAATATTGCAGGACTCATTTACTGTGCTAACTTTTAAGGAAATAGCTATATTTCACAGAGTAGAATAAATAAAAATGACTTTGATTATGTATATCTAATATGTGTTCTATGAAACACTATTTACAAAAGATATTCCAAGGGTAAGATAAAAAACATCTGTGATAGGCTAGGGGTGTTGGCTCATGCCTATAATCCCAGCAGTTTGGGAAGCCAAGGTGGGTGGATCACCCGAGGTCGGGAGTTCGAGACCAGCCTGACCAACATGGAGAAACCCCATCTCTACTAAAAATACAAAATTAGCTGGGCAAGGCAGCGCATGCCTGTAATCCTAACTCCTCTGGAGGCTGAAGCAGGAGAATCACATGAACTCAGGAGGAGGAAGTTGTGGTGAGCCGAGATCGTGCCATTGCACTCCACCCTGGGCAACAAGAGTGAGACTGTGTCTCAAAAACAAACAAACAAACAAAAAATCTGTGATAAATATTACTTTCTTTTGTGCTGTTACAACAGAACTCCAGAGACTGAGTAATTTATAAAGAGCAGAAGTTTATTTTTCACACTTCTGGTGGTTTAAAAGTTCAAGATCAAGAAACTGGTGGGTTTTGGTGTCTGGTTAGGACCCAATATTCTCGTCCAAGATGAGCCTTGAGCACTGCATCTTCTAGAGGCAAGGAACACTGTTTCTCACATGGCAGGAAAATTTTAGAGAAATAATTTATTCCTGCAAGCCCTTTTTATACAAGTATTCATTCATTCCCAAACACTTCCCAGTAGCACCACCTTTCAACACGGACACATTGGGAATTAAGTTTCTAATACATGAATTTTGGAAGGTGGTAAAACATTCAAACTGGAGCAATTATTACATAATTTTTCTCTTGGGGATTGATAGCCTAATTAATATATTTTACGAAACTTTATATTATTTACTATGGAAACTCATTTCTTCTCATTGTCCTTATAATCTGGCTTAATTACATAATAGTATTAATCTTTCAGTGGTATGTGTATTATGTGAATGTCAGTGTGAAATTTGTTGTCTGTCTTTTTCAGAATACAATATTCATGACAGAGAATTTTATGTATTTTTTTACTGTTCTATCCTCAATCACCGAAGAAATATTTTGCATAAAGAAGTATTAAAAATGCCATTGTTTGTTTCTGGTGTACTGACTCAGAAAACACTTGTTAAATTCCAGTTACATATGAGACTTCATTCTAAGCCTTAGATACAAAAAAAAAAAGAATAAAATACTATCTGCTCTGATGGACTATTATTAATAATTTCTAAAGAAATAAAGATAAAAATTTTGTGAATTTATTATTCTACAAATAATATAAAATTCTTTTGAATTATTGTCATACATAGCAAAATTAAAAAGTTGAACACAAAATAGTCTGGCAGTAATTTAAATATACACAGACTAATAGATAACTAGATTCAGCTTCTAAATAAAATGAGCAGTTTATTTCTTATGTCACGATATATTTTCTTCTTTGTTTTATAATTTGTTAACTTTATAAAATATTAAAAGTTAATGGTGTTTTGTGAAATAAATTAAAACATATTTCAGTAGTTTTAAAACTTCAGTATTTTCTCGTTCATTTTAATAGAAATGTATGTAAGCAAAATTACCTTGTAATCATTGCCATACAGAAGAGATTGGGAATGCAGTGACATAATGAGTCCTTTAATGTGTAAAACTATTATGCAGAATTTGTACTTTGCCTGATCCCTGACGGAGCTCTGTCTATGGATTTTCTTTTGAAATGGGTTCTATAGTGTATAGTTTAATTTATTATAGTGACTTTCATAAGATAAATAATAGAGAAAATCATTGAAGATCTTTAAGAAATGAAGAGAAAATCTTGAATCCCATCATTTGTTGCAAGTTTAGCAAAGAGATACCATATATGAATTTAATTAAGACACACCCTTGCCCCATTTACCACTCAATGAGCTATGACAGGTTTGGAAGAGAAACTGCCAGTTTTCTGAGTTAATGCAATATTTAAATTAATGACATTCATGGATAATATATAAAACTTCTAAATTGAGTTTTTTTGGGAAAATGTTACCTAGTATATAATTTTGTATTGAACAGGGAAATTTATCACTACATCTTTTACTTTGCAGAAATATAGGATGAAATGCATATAAAGTTATATAAATTTTTATCATCTTATCAATTCATATATTTGTTTCTCATAAATGTCAAATATTGATTGCCCATAAGTTTCTTCCTGATAGCATGTTTTGATGATCTTCCTTCTTGTAATGAAGCTTCTATAAAGAGGGGAAAATGTATTTCTAAAGTTATGCTAATCATTAAGTCTTATTTCTATGATATAAATTCAATGTGTAGCTGAACTGAGTCTCCACCTATCTAATTCTAAGCAAATTATATAACTTCTTTGCATACCTTTTCCTTTACAATAAGGTAAAAAGTTATATCTCAGAGAATATGATTATTAATGTAGAAATATTTTAAATCATATTCAAATACACTAGACTGCTAGAGTCTAGTAATATATCCTTTTGGATATTTTGCTTGCCTAATAATCCTCAAATGATTTTAAACATCAATTAAATGCAGAGTAATTTTGAAAATCATTCTGTACCAATTAGATCTTTTCTCTAACTAGGATGGAATAAATGGAAAGGATGGCCTCAAAAAAGTATTCATTATATTTTTGATGGTTTCTTTGATTTTCACAAACTTTTGAGTAGAATACTGCCTTTAATTAATTATGTATTTTAAATAATTTTAAAACAAAGTACAAAATTATGCAATAATGATTAATCAATTTAAAATTACATGTTAAATTGAGTTGCAAAATTATAAAGAAAATTTTGGCATTTCTATTAGTCCATTATCATATTGCTATAAAGAAATACCTGATGGCCAGGCACGGTGGCTCACACCTGTAATCCCAGCACTTTGGGAGGTCGAGACTGGTGGATCATGAGGCCAGGAGTTCAAGACCAGCCTGGCCAGCATAGTGAAACCCTGTCTCTACTAAAAATACAAAAAATTAGCCAGGTGTAGTGGTGGACACCTGTAATCCCAGCTACTCGGGAGGCTGAGGCAGAAGAATTGCTTGAACCCGGGGAGCGGAGGATGCAGTGAGACAAGACTGTGCCATCGCACTCCAACCTCTGGCAACAATGCGAGACTCCATCTCAAAAAAAAAAAAAGAAAAAGAAAAAAGAAATATCTGAGACTAGATAATTCATAGAGAAAAGATGTTTAATTGGCTCACAGTTCTGCGGTTTTTAGAGGAAGTATGGCTGCATCCTGGAGAGGCCTCAGGGAACTTAGAATCATGGCGGAAGGTGGAGTGGAAACTGGCTCACCTTACATGGCCACAGCAAGAGCAAAAGAGCAAGGGGGAAGGTGCTACACACTTTTAAACAACCAGATCTCATGGGGCACTCACTCACTATCATGACAGCAGCACCAAGGGGATCGTGCTAACCCTTTCATGAGAAATCTGCCAAATGATCCTATCACCTCCCACCAGGCCTCACCTCAAACACTGGGGATTATAACTGAGCATGAGATTTGAGTGGGGTCACAGATCTAAACCATATCAGTATTCATTAAACTCATCAGACTTATCAATAAAACATGAGTAGTTTGAGTGCCAGACACTGTCCAGCATACATGGATTCTAGCCCCTACAACATATGATTATCTTATTAAAGTTTATAATGTTTGGATTCTGAAATAGTATTATCAAGATAATAATCAATGTGACATGGTTTTGGCTGTATCCTCATCTAAATCTCATTGGGAAAGGTAATCCCAATAATCTCCACCTGTCAAGGGAGGAACCTCATGGGAGATGATTGGATCATGGGGGCAATTTCTCACTCTAGTGAGTAATTCCTCATGAGTTCTGATGGTTTTAGAAGCATATGGCATTTCTCCTAAATGCACTTCTTTCTCTCTTGACACCTTGGGAATAAGGTCCCTCTTTCCCATTCTGCCATGATTGTAAATTTCCTGAGGCCTCCCCAGCCATGTGGAACTGGGAGTCAATTAAACCACTTTGTTTAAAAACTACCCAGTTTCAGGTAGTATCTTTATAGCAGTGTAGTAATGGACTAATACACAATGGTAATACCTTTATTCCTTTATTTTAAAGAGAGTGTTGTCCTGTTTAATAACATAATAATTCTAAAAGGAGAAGGAATTGTGTTTCAATATTTTGTTATGATACATTATGAAGGTTTTTGTTTGTTTGTTTTTGTTTTGTTTTGTTTTGTGAGACAGGGTTTCACTCTTGTTGCCCAGGCTGGAGTGCAATGGCACACTCTCAGCTCACTGCAACCTCCGCCTCCTGGGTTCAAGTGATTCTCCTGCCTCAGCCTCCTAAGTAGCTGGGATTACAGGTCCCTGCCACCATGCCCAAATAATTTTTTGTATTTTTAGTAGAGATGTGGTCTCACCATGTTGGCCAGGCTGGTCTTGAACTTCTGACCTCAGGTGATCTGCCTTCCTCAACCTCCCAAAAGTGCTAGGATTTCAGGCGTGAGCCACCGTGCCCAGCCGATTATGAAGTTTTTATAAGCATATCTGTATATAGCTAAAAAATTCACAAGTAGATTATATCAAAAAAAAATTAGAGATTAGTTTAGTGTATGGTCTTACAATAAATGGTCATGTAATACTCAGATACTGGAAATACACATGTTATGCTGTTTCAAAGAAAATATGATTTCAACTAAAATTTGTCCCAATTATTCATCTAATAAGAACTTGATTCTCTGAAGAGCACAAGATTTCTCTGAGGAAGAGACTGCAACAAAACTGCACTAGGGAAAACAGTGATACAGAGATTGCACACTGCTGAGTTCCTAGTTTTTTTACACTTCTGGGTAAACTTACTAAACTCATGACTTTTTAATATGTAAAATTAAATTAAAGATTATAATCAACTACTGGAATTTTAAGAGTAAGGAAACATAATAATTTATATGTTAAAATTTATCTTGATTTAAATTTAATACTGAAATGTTAAATATTATCACAATAACATTAACTACCTAAAAATATTAATATGCATATATATGCAATTATATGTTTGACAGCTGCCAAAATACGATGCTTAAAATGGTGATGAATGTGATTAATTTGCCATCTGTGTAATGTAAATCTTCTGTTTCCCAAGAATCTTTAATGATTAAGGAAATCATTTAGAGGTAGAATAAAGATGATTTGCAATTTTGTATGCTTTATAACCTGTGATCAATTGTATTATTTAGATATAAATTTCCCCACATAACACAAATTTATATTTGTATTTGGATACAAATTTCATACAAAAATGGCCCAATTCATTTTATTTTTAATACAATATTAATTAAAAAACACAAGGCTAAAGTGATAGGCTACTGTTTTCTTGTGTGGTTGTCTGTTTTTGTGCTTTATAACTGCACAGATGTTTCTGTTTTTTTTTTTTTTTTGTCTAGGGATTCATCCCTCCAAAACATTTATACCATCTCACACTGATTATTAAAATCTTAACAATAGTTATATATTTTCCCTAGCATCTTACTTTTTTCCACCTTAGAATTACATGGCAAATACCAACAAGCTGAAATAATTATAAAATATTAAATGGTAAACATCTTCCCCTTAAGATCAAAAACAGAAAAGGACAGAAAAGTCCATTTATTTTAACAGGTCTTTTAATTTTGATGTCATCCACCATTTCTGAATTATTTTTATTTCATTATAAATCAATAAACCATTTATTCTTCTGTTCATATATGGAAATCAACTGGTAGCAGTCAAAAGGAGGCCTAACATGACTAGCTCCATTTTGCTCCTAACCCTCTGTACTATGCAGTGATATCTTTTCCATTAAATCCTTTTGCTTATCTCTACAAGTAGTCTGAGCTAACTACGGGAGGAATTTAGTGTATAATTTAAAGCAAGGATGATAATAGCTCCCTCCCCCAAATAAGGAGGGTGAATACACAAGTATTAATACAATGTCATGTTAAAGATTTATAGGAGCATTGTGACCTGACCAACAACAAATAATCTTCACAAGGTTCCCCCACCCCTGACCCTTGATGCCATTCGGATGTCTGTGATTATCTGCCAGCTTTTGATCTCAAGCCCCTCCCTCGTTCTTCTTCCTATAACATAAAGAGAACCTCAAATTCTATTAAGTTAAGATGGTTCTTTAAGACACTGGTCCACTAACCTCTGGATTTGCTCAATCTCTGAAATAAAGTTGCTTTCCTTGCCCCAACACCTTGTCTCTCAATTTTTAGCTGTTGTGCAGTGAGCTGTATGAGCTTTGGACTCTCTTACAGTCTCTGCTAAAATGCCATTACATGTTTATTTTAAGAAATATATGATCAGCAGATACAATTTTATTTTGGAAAATTATCTGTGATTGGCAGAATTCTTAATGTTATTATCCTTCTATTTAACCAATACATCATTTGGATGTATGAAATACAGATTTTTATCTGTGTACTGTGCTAATATGCCTTTTCCTCCCAATGGATCTTTTCAAATATGTGTTTTATTATATATCTAATATATTTTATCTGGGATTTTTAATCTAATAAAAAAACCTGGAATTTTTACATTTTATATTATTTCACAGTACTAAGTGCCAGGATAATTTAGTACAACTTCTAGAATGTATTATTAATAATTAGTCTAAAATAAAGTAATTGAAAATATTTTTTTTCTAATTTTGCCACATATAGCATAGCTTGAGTACATTTTATACCTTTTTCTTGGCAGGGGAATAGGTAGAAAAATGACAAAATGATGAAAAAAGAAATCTTTTGTATTGGTACAATTTAACATTTACACTGTGCTTCAAAATGTTTTTCTTAAATGCTTCAAAATATCAGTTAAGGCCAGGCGCAGTGGCTCACGCCTGTAATCCCAGAACTTTGGGAGGCTGAGGCGGGTGTATCACCTGAGGTCAGGAGCTCGAGACCAGCCTGGCCAACATGGTGAAACCCGATCTTTACTAAAAATACAAAAATTAGCAGGGAGTAGTGGCAGGCGCCTGTAATCTCAGCTACTTGAGAGGCTGAGGCAGGGGAATCCCTTGAACCTGGGAAGTGGAGGTTGCAGTGAGCTGAGAACACGCCATTGCACTCCATCCAGCCTGGGCAACAAGAGTGAAACTCCATCTCAAAAAGAAAAAAAAAAGTTAAAATTATAATTATTTATTTTTAAAAGACATAGTCCTAGAAAGACACAGTGAAATTCTAATATTTCTTTTTAAAATTTTAATTTTACTCATTTAATTTTTAAAAGTTTATTTTAGGTTCAGGGGTACATGCGCAGGTTTGTTGTATGGGTAAACTTGTGTCATGAGGGTCTGCTGTACAGGTACTAAACCTACCACTAAATAGTATTTTTTTCTGATCCTCTCCCTCCTCCCATGCTCTACCCTCAAGTAGGCCCCATTGTCTGTTGTTCCCCTCATTGTGTCCAAGTGTTCTCATAGTTTAGCTCCCACTTATTAGTGAGAACATGTGGTTTTAGGTTTTCTGTTTCTGCATTAGCTTGCTTAAACATAATGGCCTCTAGCTTCATCCATGTTCCTGCAAAGGACATGATCTCATTTTCTTTTATGGCTGTGTAGTATTTCATGGTGTATATGTACCACATTTTCATTATCCAATCTGCCATTGATGGACATTTAAGCTGATTCCATGTCTTTGCTATTGTGAATAGTGCCACAATGAACATATACATGCATGTGTCTTTATGGTAGAAAAATTTATATTCCTCTGGGTATGTACCCAGTAATGGGATGGCTGGGTCAAATGGCAATTCTGTTTTTAACTCTTTGAGGAATCATCATACCATCTTCCACAATGGTTGAACTAATTTACACTCCCACCAACAGTGTATAAGCATTCCCTTTTCTCTGCAATCTCACTAGATTTGTCGCTTTTTGACTTTTTAAAAATAGCCATTCTGACTGGTGTAAGATGGTACCTAATTGTGGTTTTGATTTACATTTCTCTATCAGTGATATTGAGCATTTTTTCATATATTTGTTGGTTGCATGTAGGTCTTGTGAAAAGTGTCTGTTGATGTCCTTTGTCTACTTTTTAAGGCAGTTGCTTGTTTTTTCTTGTAAATTTGCCAAAGTTTCATATAGATGTTTAATATTAGACCTTTGTATGATGGAAAATTTGCAAATATTTTCTCTCATTCTGTAGTTTGTCTGTTTACTCTGTTGAAATCTTCCTTTGCTGTACAGAGGTCTTAAGTTTAATTAGATCCCATTTGTCAAGTTTTGTTTCTGTTGCAATTTCTTTTGGCATTTTGTCATGAAATATTGCCAGTTACTATGTCCAGAATGGTATTGCCTAGGTTGTCTTTGAGGGTTTTACATTTAAGTCTTTAGTCCACTTGAGTTGATTTTTGTATATGGTGGAAGGAAGGGTTCCAGGTTCATATAGCTAGCCAGGTATACCAGCACCATTTATTGAATAGGGAGTCCTTTTCCCATTGCTTGTTTTTGTCAGCTTTGTCAAAGATCAGATGGTTGTAGGGGTACAGCCTTATTTCTGGGCTCTCTATTCTGTTTCATTTGTCTTGTCTGCTTTTGTGTCAGCATAAGTCTGTTTTGGTTACTATATCTCTGTAGTATAGTTTGAAGTAAAGTAACGTGATGCCTTCATCATTGTTCTTTTTGCTTAAGATTGTTTTAGTTATGCAGGCTCCTATTTGGTTCAATATGAGCTTAAAATTTTTTTTTAATTATGTAAAGAATGCCATTGGTAGTTTGAGGGAAATAGCATTGAATCTGTAAATTTCTTTGGGCAATTTTAATAATACTGTTTTTTCTATCCATGAGCATAGAATGTTTTTTCATTTGTTTGTGTCATCTCTGATCTCACATTGACAATATCAACAATATCCTAGCATTTTATAAAATGCTTTCAGTCAGAAAGAACTGATTTCTTATGCTGTTTATGCCTGCTTTAGTGGACACTAGGAGATTGTCCTTAATCACCTGTTGCCTCTGTTCTCTTGGGCATACTCTTACTGTGTATGGGGGGTGTGGAGGAGGAGGATTACCTTTCTCTTCTTATTATGTTATAGCATAAAACATCTTGAGCTCACAAAACATAAGAAGTTTTGAAAAACATGTAATTTTAAAAATGTGATTTTGCTCATCTGTAGGAGATAGTTTTAAGAGAGGAAATGTAGTGTGTGCATTGTCTTTTTTTGAATCAGTTAAGATGTCTGAATTTACTGATAAAAATGACCCAAAATTGAAGCACACTATAAATATCAAGATGACTTCACTTCTGGGAAATGGAATGGGAATGCTGATGACATCATGATCTTCATGATCAAATGACACTTGAAGTGAGAAGTATTCTAGATTTCCCCGAAATGTGAATGTCTGCTTATTTTAATGTGAAAACATTTATTTAGCCATCTAAGCTTTTCATTTTTTTCTTAAACAACATGTGCTCTCTTTTTAAACAAAAATGTACAAACACACATATTAAGTTAAAAATAATAGGTTAGCATTAGGCAAAAATAGTAATATATTGGGTGGTAGGCAAGTGGATATGACCAAAGTACTCTTTATAACCTCGTCTCTCAGAAACAGTGGATGTGATTTTCAAAATGCAAAGTTTCATTTGATATGCTACCTATGCATTCTACCTGGGGATAATACACAATAATATATTCTGACACAACAATTATTGAACTAGAGATGATAGTTAAACACAGGACAACATACAGTAGAGAAGTTGAATCAATACAAGGATAGTTAAATATGTTATCATCATAGAGCTTTGGAGATTTTTTAAAAAAGAAGAAAATGTGGGATATATACTCCATGGAATACTATACAGCCATAAAAAGGATGAGTTCATGTCCTTTGCAGGCACATGGATGAAGCTGGAAACCATCATTCTCAGCAAACTATCACAAGAACAGAAAATCAAACACCGCATGTTCTCACTCATGAGTGGGAATTGAACAATAAGAACACATGAACACAAAGAGGGGAACATCACACACTGGGGCCTGATCAGGGGTGAGGGCTGAGGGAGGGATAACATTAGGAGAAATACCTAATGTAGGTGACGGGTTGATGGGTGCAGCAAACCACCATGGCCTGTGTATACCTAAGTAACAAAACTGCATGTTCTGCACATGTACCCCAGAACTTAAGATGTAATTAAAAAATAATAATAATGAAAATAAGTAAATAATAAAAAGAAGATAGGTATTGTTAAGTCAGAAGATAGGTATTGTTAAGTCAGAGACTATAAAGGGTCTGATATTATTCTGAATGCAAGCTAGCTTATATAAAATGATTGCCACAATTTTATATGTATATATACAGACAGGATGCAAGACCCTGGGTAAATGACACAGCAACCATAGCAGCCAAAGCAACATCTGATGTTAATTCTTTATGACACTATTCTGACAGAGTGATATGATGTGAGATGTATTTTTGTAAATAGTAGGTTGTGCCAAAGGAATGGAACACCCAAATTATAAGACTCAAAGCTAACACTGGATGTCTCACAAATCTGTCGATTCTTCTTTTGGAAAGACACAAATAAGTCTTTGGAGAGAGGAGGAGAAATTGTCTACCATTACTAGCTTCAAAGGTAAGAAGCGGTGTCTTAGAGACAGGAAGAAAACTTTACTACCGTAGAATGTCTCTGGGAGTCTCTATATTTATGGAGACACTATGTCTAGCTTCTAAGGTATATTTGTTGTTCAAACAGAGTTATTCTAAGCCCTTAACTCAAAAGGCCTAGAACTCGCAGGAATGCAAGAAACCATAAAAAATTGTCTTCCAATAGACATGATATAAGATAAACAACATAAAAATATAGATTAAATTATCGCAGCAAAACATAGGATTTGAAGGTAATTAGGAGGGTGAGGAAGGTAAAAAGAAATGTTCATTCTTATTACCATTTAAATAATAAGATTGACCAAAAATGTAAAGGTGTTTATTTTTTAATAGGAGTAGAAAGATGATGTGGTAGACTTTTTGTCCATCTATACTCAACCTAAGATATCATTTTGTGAGATAATGAAAAATCAGGGCATCAACTGTATTGTGCTAATTCTTTAAATTTGTTTTTTCCACTTTGTATTTATACTATATGACATTAATTGAATGAACATTTGGTTTTGTATAACTCATGTATAGGAATCAGAGAATAATAACTTAGCAGCTTAATTAAAAAATAGATGTTTATTTATCTCACATGTAACAATTCCAAATGACCAGTGACTCTGGTCCACAGGATCATTTACAGATAGATATTTTATCTATTGTGATATTTTTTGACCACCTCTAGGCTGTTTCATTGGCAAGTATGCAAAGATTTTTCTGGCATTTCCATGTTCTAGCTTGTGGAAATGGGAAAGGCTGTAAAGGAAGGAATCAGAAAGGTTTTCTCTAGACTGAGTGTAGAACTGACACGCATCTTTTCTCATTTTATGTCCAAGAGAATTAATTCGAATATATTTCACAGGCTAGAAAATTCACAGCTAGTCATTCTATCCCAGCTATAATTCTGTTACCAGAAAATGAATAGAGAATGGATCTTCAGAGGCTTCCAACCATCTTAGCACAACTAGAATATAAATATTTGTTGGCAACTGAAAATAATGTAATAAATTTTAATAACTAATTAATAAAAATAATAAAATTTAATAACTAATAATATAACTAAGTTTTATGCAATTTTGCTATTTAGTATTTATTTAAAATATGTAATCCATATTTATAGACTATTTTGGATTTGGAAAGTAATATTTTCTAACTTGTATCATTTCAGAATTGAGATAAGAAAATGCTCAATGTAAAATATATTAAAAAATAAAAATTCAAGAATAATTTGCAGATGCTTTATATTAGATTAGTTTAATTTTCAAAAGAGTGTAATTTATTAGAAAAAATGTATTTAGTAGAAAAGGATGTGTTCTGCATATCTATACTACTTGCAGAAGAGAAAATTCTTTATACTTCCTTCATGTTCAAAAAACAGAACACATAATTGCAGTTTATCAAAGATTTTGGAGGAAATATTAAACCTTTGAAAGCTAAAGTGATTTTTTTTTCCAAAATAAAAAAAAGTCAAAAAGGAAAAATATTTAAAAACCTTACTGTTGAATCCACTGGCTTTTAGTTCCCATAAACTGGTCTTTGGTTTGGCATTAACAAAATGCAGTAATATTCACTGTTATGTTATTACGTAAGACTAACCTTATATTTACCCAAAAGCCCCTTCCTCCAAATTACTGACTAAAAGCTTCTGTATTAGTCAGTTTTCACATTGCTATAAATAACTACCCAAAACTGTATAATTTATAAAGGAAAGAGATTTAATTGACTCATAGTTCCACATGGCTGGGGAGGTGTCAGGAAACTTACAATCATGGCAGAAAGTGAAGGACAAGAAAGCACCTTCTTCACAAGGCAGCAGGAAAGAGAGAAAGTGTGGAAGAGCCACACACTGTCAACGACCAGATTTTATGTGAGTTCTATTATGAGAACAACATGGGGGAAACTGTCCCCATGATCCAATCACCTCCCACCACTTTCCTCCCTAGACACATGGGGATTACAATTATGATTGCAATTTGAGATAAGATTTGGATGGGGACACAGAGCCAAACTATATCAGCTTCTCAGGTAAATCTTTTCTTTGTGTCTCTCTAATGGTAGTTATTTATTTGTATGCCAATTTAATGATTCCTAAGAATACCATGTATTCTTACCAATATCAAGCCTAAAATATCACAAGCAGCATTTTGGCCTAGAGCTGAATGAACCCTCATACAGCATGTACACTAGCAGTCTCCTAAATCAAAGGGATGTGATCAATCACAATTTATTCAGTTATTAGTGCATATATTTATTTACTGGTCTTTATGATAGAAATTTGTATTGAAAAAAAAAACTGTTATTGTTTACACACATATGGTTCTCCTTCTTTTCCAGGTATACTAGAAGGTTGCACTTTATTTCCTCTGGAAGTTAAGCAGACCATGTGTTCACTTCTTGAAAAAAGTGATGGGTAGCACTTCTGGACCAAAGCATCTAGTTATCAGTCAAGCCTTTTAGGGCTCTCATCCCTTGCTGGAGAGAACATGGAGACATGTTCCAGATGGTGTAGCCCGGAATATTGGAGCTTTTATTGACTGAAGCTACTCTATGGAATAAGGATATGGAATATGGAGAGTCAACTCTTAATTTACTCAGATTTGTTTAGGTTGTTAACAGCAGTATAAGTTAGTGAATCTTGATTAATAAAGCTTCCATTATGTAATAAATAGTTTGAGGCACCAAGAATACATCAGGGAACAAAGTAGTAAAGAATCCTTCTCAGATATTTCAATGGGAAGAGACTGACTGTAAAAAAAAAAAAAAAAAAAAAAAGTTTAACAGATATAACAAATATTTTAGATAGTCATAAATTCCAGGGGGCTAAATAAATGCTAGGAGCAGAAGGAGAAAATATGTATGGGAAACAAAATTTGCCATGGAATGACTTTTTGAGAAGGTAATATTTAAGGAAAGATGTTCGGGACCCTGTTTTAATGTTTCAGTACACTATGCAGTTTCCCCATATTCTAGTTCACTAATTTCATATTTAGCATTATGTTGAAAGTTGAGCACTGAGTTTTTCATAAAAAGTAATCATTATTTTGCACTCTATTTTAATGATAAAACAGTTTAACTTCTTGTTTTACCTAGTATATTACATTTTGAGGAAAACCATGTACTTGATTGGTAGCAGTTATAAGTAATGAGAATTTTTTTATTATTATCATTGACTCCTCCAATGTATTGTGAAAAAATTTTATATGGCATATTAAGTAGAGATAATTTGCTGTTATTGAATCAAGAGTATCTAAGAGTTTTATACTTTGTAATATAATAACTGACCAATGAAGTCTTGTTAAAGTGATTTAGTTTTTAAAAAATGACCGGAAAAAGAAATGGTTAACAAAATATATCTGATCCATAGAACAAATTCATTTTGAAAAAAATTGTAATCAATATAACCTAAATTAGCATACAAATATAGTATTTTAAATTAATAAAATAAAAGTAGATTTTGCTATACCATATGATTTTAATTTTGTAATATTACCATCAAATAAAATATGGTATCATGCAATTTATCAAAGCAAAATAATAATGATGATGATGCATTTATTTTAAAATTAATGATGCATTTTTACGGAAAATTATTAGAATAGTTAGTAAACAGAAGATATGGCTGTGATGAACTTAACTTTTTATTTATTTGCAACTTAATTCTGAACAGATAACTTTAAAACTAATTCAGCTTATTTGAATAAAGACTTTTAGCTGAAATAGCTCTCTATATAGTCACTAATATCTTCTAATTACTGAAGTAATTTCACTAATAAACTTAATTATTGTATGAGTTTATATGCTATAAAAATTTTGAATAAAAATATAGTTTGACACTACAAAAACTAACCTCAAAAGAAAATACAGTACTATAACATCCAGACTCTTCCCATTTTCCTCACTACTTAAATTTACATTAAATATAACAAAACTAGAAAAGAGTTCGGTATTCTCATGGTGTGAAAATGTAATAGTAATAAAGAAATTTTTCCAAAGTATATTGATGTTAAAGAAAATTATTTTAAGATGACTGTTATGAAAATATTTCAAGAAGGCCGGGTGTGGTGGCTCATGCTTGTAATTCCAGCACTTTGGGAGGCCTAGGCAGGCAGATCACCTGAGGTCAGGAGTTTGAGACCAGCCGGACCAACATGGTGAAACTGTGTTTCTACTAAAAATACAAAAATTAGCTGAGTGTGGTGGCAGGTGCCTGTAATCTCTTGAGAGGCTACTTGTAAGCTACTTGAGAGGCTGAGGCAGGAGAATCACTTGAATCTGGGAGGCAGAGGTTGTGATGAGCTGAGATCATGCCATTGCACTCCAGCCTAGGCAACAAGAGTGAAAATTTATTTCAAAAAAAAAAAAGGGAAAAAAAACAGGAAAAAGAAAAGAAAATATTTCAAGCAATAAGTTAAAGGGTAAGAAAGAAAGGAAATGTTCGTCATTAAAAAGGAGATGCCTTCTACAATATCTAAAGAAAAAAATAAACGTTTATATCACAATTATGCAAAATAGGATATTATAACTTTGCTCAACATGTCTTATGAATTAATACTAATGTTATTCATACATTTCATAACATTTACAAATAACAGATTAATGGGACTGAATTTTTTTTTTACATCTAGAAATACGATACATAGAAAGTAGACCTACTAACTGGAATGCTTCCCCATTGGGTATTAATTATTTACATGATGCAAACAAAACTGAAGCAAGAACAAAAAGAGACTTATTAAAGTATATTTTCTTCCAGAGCATCACTCTGCAAGAATCTCAATAGCAAAACTCCTAGTAACATAAACTTGGGTCATTTTTCTAATCCTTAGGGATATTTAATTGGAGGGAAATAGTGGATAGAAAAGCAGAAATAAAAATTATTATTGGATTTTCATAGACTTTCTTAGATAATTTGAATGAAAACGAACTGAAAATTTTTTTGTAATATTTGTGCCAAAGATATATTTTAAGATTATCTTAACTTTATCTTTGTTCACTTTTTAATGTATGTATATCTTAGTTTGAACAGTTATAATAATGTGTCAGCGATTGGATAGCTTATAAGCAACAGTATCTTATTTCTTACAGCTTTAGAGGCTGAAAATTTGAGATCAGGATGTCAGCATGCTCAGGTTCTGGTGAGGATCCTCTTTTGGGTTGCAGACTGCTGACTTCTTATGACTTATTATATCCTTACATGGCAGGAAGAGAATTAGAGAACTCTCTGGGATTCTTTTTTTAAGGGTGCTGTCTTAGTTCATTTTCTGTTGCCTATAAAACAATACCTGAGTCTGAATAATTTAAATTAAAAAACCATTTTTACAGTTATGAAAGCTGAGAAGCCTGAGGTCAAGGGGCTGCATCTAATGAGGGCCTTTGTGGTGGTGAGGACTCCGCAGAGTCCAGAGGTGGCAGGGGGCATCACGTGGCAAGGCAGGTAAGTATGCTAGCTCAGATCTGCCTTCCTCTCCTTATAAAGCCACCAGTCTGATGTCCATAATAACCCATTAATTAATTAACATATTAATTCATTAATTTATGAATGGATCAGTCTATTCATAATGGTAGAGGTCCCATAACCCAATTACCTTTTGAGGACCCCCTTCTCAATACTATCATATTGGGGATGAGGTTTCAACATGGGTTTTGGAGGGGACAAACATTTAAAACATAGCATCCTACTCACGGATCCCCCAAACTCATGTCCTTCTAACATACAAATATATTTGTTCTCTCCCCATAGTCCAAAGCTTTAGCTTGTCTCAGTACCCACTCAGAAGTCCAAAGTCCAGAGTCTCATATGTGAACCTGTGTAATCAAAACAAGTTTTGCATTTTCAAGATACAGTGGTGCCGGTATAAGATAGACGTTTCCTTTCCAAAAGCTAAGAATAGGGAGAAAAAAAAGGAATAATAGGCCCCAAGCAAGCCTGAAACCCAGCAGGGTAGACATTAAATCTTAAAGCTGGAGAAAAACCTTTTATGACTCTGTGGGCCATCTCATGGACACACTGAGGTGGAGATTTGGCCCCCGAGATATCAGGAGGCCCTGGCCCTGTGGCTTTGCTGGGTAGGGTCTACATGGCTGCTCATACTGGTTGGACTCTGGTGTCTAAAGTTTCCCAGGTGGGCATTGCATGCTGCTGGTGACTTCACAGTTATGGAGTCCCAGTATTTGTCCTGCTTGCATGGCTCCCCTATGCATTGCCCTGGTTGGTAATCTTTGTGTCAGTTACAACCCCACATTTCCACTCAGCATTGCTCCAGTGAGTGAGTGCTCTCTGTGGTAGGCCTTATGACAAATCTCTGCCTGGGCCCCTAGGCTTTTCAATACGTCATTTGAAATCTGAGTGGAGGCTGCTGACCCTCCACAGCTCTCGCTTTCTGCAAACTAGCATCACATGGACAGTGTCAAGGCTTATAACCTGTAACTTCCGGAGCTGCAGCAGGAGCCATGGCTGGGGCAGCCTCAGAGTGTTGCGCTGAGGTATGGGAAGCAGAGTCCTGAGGCAGCCCTTGGAAATAAGTTTGTGGAGAGTACCCTAGGCCTGTCCCTTGAAATAATTCTGCCATCTTAGGTCTCTGGGCCTATGATGGGAAGGCAGCCTTGAAGATCTCTAACATTACTTTGGAGTTTTTCTTCCATTCTTTTCAGGAATAATATCTGGCTTCCTTGTACATGTGCTAATCATTTTTAGCAAATAGTCCCTGGGCTATATCCTTAATTTCCTCTCCTGAACATCCTTTTTTACTCATTGGGTGGCCAGACTGAGAGTTTCCCAAATCTTTCTGTTCTGCTTCAGTTTTAATTATAAACTCTGTTTTAAAATTATTTCTTTTCTCTAGAATCTCAGGGTAAGCAGCTGAAAGGAAGGAACCCTGCAACTGTCTCCATATTTTTCTTAGAAATTTCTTCGGCCAGATACCCTACTTCATCACTCCCATATGAAGCCTTACACAAAGCCCTCAGGCATGGACAGAGGTTAGCAACATTCTTTGCCTACTATTAAAAGAATAACCTTTACTCCAGTTTCCAATACCTTTTTCCTCAGTTCCATCTGAAACCTCATCAGAATGACCTTTACTGTTCATATTTCTAACAGCAATCTTGTCAAAACCACCTCACTAATCTCTAAGGAGTTTGAAACTTTCCCTAGTCTTTTAGTCTTGTAGACAAGGATCTAGGCTAGAATCTAAGCTTTTTTTAGCCTACTTCTCGAAATTCTAGTCTCCACCTATTACCTAGTTCCTAAGACACTTTCACTTTTTTAGGTATTCATTGCCCAAACATTCAGCTCTCAGGATCTATTTCCTCTCATGGTTCATTTTCTGTTGCTTGTAACAGAATATTCGAAACCAAATAGCTTATAAAGAAAATGATTTTATTTCTTATAGTTATGGAGGTTGAGAAGTTCAAGGTTGGGGTGACCCATCTGGTGAGGGCCTTCTTGCTGATGAGGACTCTGAAGAACCTGGGGAGGTGCAGGGCATTACATGGTGAGTGGACTGGGCCTGCTAGCTCAGAACTCTTTTTCTCTTCTTATAAAACCACCAGTTCCACTCCCATGATAACTTATAATCCATTAATCTATTAATTTATGAGTGGATTAATGCATTCAAGAGGGCAGAGCCCTCATGAGCCAATCACCTTTTAAATGACCATCTGTCAATACTACTTTCCAAAATTTAATTCAGAATTAAATTTCAACATGAGTTTTGGAAGGTATAAGCATTCAAATCACAGCAGGCACTGATTCATTTTTTTTTTCTTTTTTTGAGAGAGAGTCTTGCTCTGTCACCCAGGATGGAGTGCAGTGGTGCAATCAGAGCTCACTGCAGCTCCACCTCCTGGGCTCAACTGATTCTCCCACCTCAGCCTCCCAAGTAGCTGGGACTAAAGGCGCCCACCGTCTCACCAGCTAATTTTGATATATTTTGTAGAGACTGAGTTTTACTGTATTGCGTAGACTGGTCTCAAGTTCCTGGGCTCAAGTGATCTGCCTGCCTCAGCCCAAAGTAAAGGGTTTATAGGCATGAGCCATCACATCTGGTCACTAATCCCATTCTAATACCATCACACTGGGGGTCAGATTTCAACACATGAATTTGGGGGAAACACATTTAGTCCATTGCAATGTATTTTTCATATATTTTGTGGTTTAATTTGCTGCATATTGTTTCTGTTGCTACTAATTTGAACAAAATAAATTGAAAGACGAAAATGGTATTGCATCAGGGAGATAAGGATAATCACTCCCAAATGAATGGCTTTGGGATTGAAAGTGGAAACCGTGATGGGAAGTCTGGAACATGATAATCACTAATGATGAATTAAGGCAAGCAATAAGAAGACAATTCTACACATAAGCATATCAATAAGTCTGGAAAATGCTTATGAAAAAATAAATTACCTGCACTGTATTTGTTGGAAAGCTGCAGCAACCCTGACTTTCTCAAAGTGTATGATTCTTTATAAAAAATATTAAACATTTTATGTGTAAAATAATGTGATCCTTTCCAGTATTTTATTTTGAACATCTATCTCAAAAAAAATCCTTTCTGAAGTATAAAGCTTGAAGGTACATTTTACTCTCCCTAATTGAGTGTTCCCAAGTCTCTTTTACCCTACAAGGACATAAGAAAGGAGAATCTTTCATAAGGAACTTCCATCACAAGACTCCAGGCCATTCTTAGACAAGTTTTTGGATCTACTCTATTAAAGAAAACCTGTATAAAAGAAACACATCTGATGTATTAAAGAACCATGTACATAATGGTACCCAGCCTGAGGTTGGTAACCATTTTATTTATTGCTTTCTTTATTGCAGGTCTATAAAAAGGCCAATCTTTTAAAAAATTTCTGATAGTATGATGTCAGTATAACTGAATAAATGAATGATCTGATGACTTTTCGTAATTTATTGCTCAGCATTTCCCTATTTCCTTGTACAATAAATGGCAAGTTTTTACATAAGAGTTCCCTAACAGTTGAAGGTAAACAAGTTGAAGACTTATCAGAAAATGAAATAGATTTTGTTCTATTGAGTACAATGAGATGATGAGAATTCATAAGAAAGATAGTTTAGAATGATCACAATGGGAAACACCTCCCATTTAAATAAATTATCAAAGGTATTTGTGTTTTATGGTCCAGCAGAAACTGAAGAAGATAAGATTACATGATTTATATAAATCATGCTACTATAAAGACACATGCACACGTACGTTTATTGTGGCACTATTCACAATAGCAAAGACTTGGAACCAACCCAAATGTCCATCAATGATAGACTGGATTAAGAAAATGTGGCACATATACAGCATGGAATACTATGCAGCCATAAAAAAGGAGGAGTTCATGTCCTTTGTAGCGACATGGATGAAGCTGGAAACCATCATTCTGAGCAAACTATCACAAGGACAGAAAACCGAACACCGCACGTTCTCACTAATAGGTGGGAATTGAACAATGAGAACACTTAGACACAGGGTGAGGAACATCACACACTGGGGCCTGTCATGGGGTGGGGGGATGGGGGAGGGATAGCATTAGGAGAAATACCTAATGTAAATGACGAGTTAATGGGTGCAGCAAACCAACACGGTACATGTATACCTATGTAACAAACTTGCACGTTGTGCACATGTACCCTAGAACTTAAAGTATAATTAAAAAAAAAGATAAGATTACAGCAAAGCCTGGAATTTAAATGAAATCGATGCATCCCCACTCCTTTAAAAGGAGCCAGTCAATTCAAATAAATGAAAGTAATATCTCATAAAAACTAAACCGTAAACATAGTCCTCCATATGACAAACCTATGTCTTTTAGCTAAAGCACTTCTTTAACTTTTCAGCTTCTCTGTTTCTCCAGTCTCTAACTGGTTCTGCACATCTACTGCTAAAATTGTCTTTGGTTTACTTACTTTGTGATTACATGAAGTTAGGTCAAACTAGAGGTAAAGAATACAGTCCTTCAGGCTTGGAGTGATGGCTCACACCTCTAAACCCAACACTTTGGGAGTCTGAGGTGGGAGTATCACTTGAGCCCAGGAGTTTCAGATCAGTGTGAGCAACATAGCAAAATCCTACCTCTGTAAAATATTTGAAAAATTAGCCAGGTGTGGTGGCATATACCTATGGTCTCAGCTACTCAGAAGGCTGAGGCAGGAGCATCACTTGACCCCAGAAGGTCAAGGCTGCAATCAGTCCTGTTTGTGCCACTGCACTCCAGCCAGCCTGGGCGATAGAGTGAGATCCTGTCTCAAAACTAAATAGTGATAAGAATAATGACACAGTCTTCCAGACTGCTGAGTCTGTCCAAGACTTCTGTTATCAGTTCCAAGTTCAGGGATTTCTAGGATGACCCTCATTTCAGACCAACTGACTACAAATCCAGCATTGCCTACAGACTCCTTCAGGTTTGATAATTTGCTAAAATGACTCACAGAACTCAGAAGAGTGCCATACATACAATTACAGTTTTATTATAGCAAAAGGGTAAAAATGAGAATCAGCCAAAGAAATACATATAAGGTGAAGACTCAAAGAATTAAATGTGAAATGTGAAGCTTTTATCATTCTCAAGGTTCCATCTGAAAAGTCCCTTTCCACATCCTGATGTGACACTGCTCAAAGAGTGTTGCCAACCAGGTAGGCTCATCCTTTACAAAGGTGTAATTGATTGAGTCATTGCCCATGCGGTTGAACTTAATATCCAGCCCCTCATCTTCCCAGAGTTTGAACTGATAGCACATGATTTAGAGCTCCAGTTGGGAAAACCATATAATTCATGTTTCTGACATGGCCACCATCCATACTCATTGTGTTAGCATAAAATGTCTAGGTGCCCACCAAGAGTCACCTTCTTCGCATAAAATATGAAGTTGTGGTCTGAGGGGCCTACAATCAATAGCAAAGGCACTCTTCTCCCTTGGAAAATTTCAAAGGTTTAAAAGGTCACCTCCTAAGCGCTGGACAGAATCGAGACCTCTCTTTAGGTAAAGTAAATTCTTTATTACACAATGTTGCATTATGGTCCATGCTGTCTGCATTGGTCCTTGAATCCTTCCTAGACTTATTTTAGTATTTTCTTTTTCTTAAGATGTGGCGACAAGGGAAAAGATGCAGTTTTGATCTATGTAGTATTTTAAACTGGTGTGCCTCCTCTCTGGACTCTCCTTTGGGAGATGAGGGTTGTGAAACATTATCTTCTTTGTTTTTCATCCTTACTAAGTTAAATCATATAAAATTGCCACTTGTAGGCAATTTTAAAGTATGTCAAATGTTATCATTTCTACCTACCAAGTATCCAAATTAAAGGTGTGATAATATATGGGATAACATGTTCCATGATCAAGCTAAACTTCACATTTTTAAATTTTACATCTTCATTAAAACAAGATTCAGTATTTACCAAAAGTGCCATTTCTCTCAGCATATTTAAAAGAAAATATGCTTGATCCCATTGGGACAAATAAATTAAAACACTACCATCAGTACACATATTTAGGGAAATATTCCCACAATTCAGAAAGGGGAAGCTAGAGATCTGAATGAAAGATTAGAAAGTTTTACCTTAGACATTTTTAAAATAATTTTTTGCATACTATTGTACATTTTTCCATATAGCTAAGTATTAAAAATTACTTACTTCATATTTTAAGTATGAATCTTGGAGAAAGCCTAAGGCATATTTTTATTCCTTGAATTGTCATTTGGTGGACCCTAATACAATATGACTGGTGTCTTTATAAAACGAGGAAATTGGACATAGAGATAGGCATACGTATAGGTAAAACACTGTAAAGAGACATGAAGAGAAGCCATCTGCAAGACAAGAGGAGAAACATGGAACTGATTTTTGCCTTGCAGCACTCAGAAGGTATCAACCTTGCTGCTACCTTGAATTTGGACTTTTAGCCTCCAGAACTGTAAGACAATAAATTTTTGCTTTTTTAAACTATCAGTTTGTGATTCCTTGTTACAGCAGCCCTGGTAAACTAATACACTATGCTATTGCAGTCCTATCACTATATTGCTAATGTTATAATCACTAAGGGAATATTTACTTTTGTATTAATAATTTAACTTTAATATTTCTGTGTAAATTATTGCTGCCCCAAAATTTTTAGTGAAGACTTTAAGAATCTATTATATAGATATGTACAAAGCTGTAAGTCTATGTATATGTAGCAATCATATGTACAAAGCTGTAATTTTGTGTACATGTAGCAATTAAAAAGACAATTACAATGTTAAATTTAGTTCATTTTGCTTGATTCTGTTTTGATATTACTCTGTTTGAAATTTTGTTTTAACATAAAATTCAGGGCTCTGAGACACTTCCTCCATAAAATGAAAAAGTTTGTCTTAAAGATGTTCCTCTGATAATGTCATGGTTCATGAAACCTAAATACACTATTAATAGCGGTACTTTAGACTAAGCATTGCCTTTAAAACTGCAAAATCTTCTAAGTCCTGAAAGATATAAATCTATATAATGCAAATTTGATATTCAGCAAACCTATGTATAAAATCTTAGTAGTATAAAGACGTAAGGTACTCTCAAGACAAAATACTTAAAAAAATACTTTCTCTATTTTTTTATATAACTTGTAAGTTCAGGAGTACATGTGTAGGTTTGTTAGATAGGTAAACTTGCATCATGGGTGTCTGCTGTACAGATTGTTTCATCACCCAGGCATTAAGCCTAATACTCACTAATTATTTATCCTGATTTTCTGCCTCCTCCCACCCTCCACCTTACAATAGGCCCTAGTGACACAAGTTTACCTACATTACAAACCTGCACATGTACCTATAAACTTAAAACTTAAAAAAATAATAAAAATTAATTAATTAATTAACTTTTGTTAAATGATTAGTTTTCCATATCCCTTCAAAGAATATAAAAGATGAAGAAAGATGAAATATAATTGATAGAGCCCAAGAAAAATTTAACTTTTTCTGTTTGATTTTAAATTTTTTACTAAATATCGTATACATATTAAACAACATAACACATGTGTTAGGTGAAAATAAAAGAACAACTATATACACTAGTTAGCTTAAAATGGAACATTGCAAGAACTTTGAATCCTTTTGTGAACCCCTTCCTTTACCCCAAAGGGAATCACCACCACAAATTTTTGTATTTATTATCCACTTGCTGTTCTTCATAATTTTATATGTTTTTATGCCTTTAAAATATTGTTTACTTTTGCCTGATCCTAGCTTTATATAAATGAATCATATCCTCTATATTTTTCAATTTGCTTATTTGGCTCACTATTATTATATTTGTGATACGAATTCATTCTGGTCCCTTCAATGTTACTGCTTCATAGTATTCCATGGTATGAAAAGCACAACACTGGGGCCGGGCACGGTGGCTCACCCTTGTAATCCCAGCACGTTGGGAGGCTGAGATGGGCAGATCACGAAGTTAGGAAATCGAGACCATCCTGGCTAACACGGTGAAACCCCATCTCTACTAAAAATGCAAAAAATTAGCCAGGGGTGGTGGCACTTGCCTGTAGTGCCAGCTACTTGGGAGGCTGAGGCAGGAGAATCTCTTGAACCTGGGAGGTGGAGGTTGCAGTGAGCCGAGATCGTGCCACTGCACTCCAGCCTGGGTGACAGAGCGAGACTCTGTCAAAAAAAAAAAAAAAAAAAAAAAAAAAAGAAAGGAAGAAAAGCACAACGCAGTTATCTCAAATTACAAAGAATCAAGGGTGTGATGTTTAATGCAGGATTATTGGCCACAGAACTTGAAGGATTTCTCTCAAAGATGGTATAGATGTGCCGATTTGGGGAAAGTCAATGAAGAAGAGACTCAGTAGAAGAGAAAATATGATAATTGAAGAAAATTGGGATGTGGTCAGTGGGGGTCTTTAAAAGTTACAAAGTTTTCATTTTTTTTCTTTGTCTCTTTTGCCTCTGCCTATCCATGCATTACTCAAAATACATTGTGCCACCATTGTGGGTGAAGTGCATTTAAAGGCAAATTTTCTAAAACAATTGTGATGGTTAATACTGAGTGTCAACTTGACTGGATTGAAGGATACAAAGTATTGATCCTGGGTGTGTCTGTGAAGGTGTTGCCTAAGGAGATTAACATTTGAGTCAGTGGGCTGGGGAAGGCAGACACACCCTTAATCTGGGTGAGCACAATCTAATCAACTGCCAGCATGGCTAGAATATAAAGCAGGCAGAAAAATGTGAAAAGAGAGATTGCCTAGCCTCCCAGTCTGCATCTTTCTCCCATGCTGCATGCTCCTGCCCTCAAACATCAGACTCCAAGTTCTTCAGTTTTGGAAATCAGACTGGCTCTCCTTGCCTCTCAGCCTACAGACAGCCTATTGTGAGACCTTGTAATCATGTGAGTTAACACTTAATAAACTCTGATATATATATGTAAATATACATGGGAGTTTATATATGTTTTTATTATATATGTGTATATATGTGTGTGTGTGTGTGTATATATATATATATATATATATATATATATATACTCCCATATATATTAGTTCCGTCCCTCTAGAGAATCCTGGCTAATACAGATTTTGGTACAAGGAGTGGTTCTAGAGGAAAAGAATATTAAGGATGGAGTTCTTTCATTGGTTTTGGGGTTTCTGGATTTGGCTGCTTAATATGATTAGACCCCAAATTGCTAAGGACTCTACTTCTAATTGTATGGAGAACACTGGTAGTCCTTGGCATGAACTGTTTAGAGAGTTATGCAGAATAAATGCATTTGACACTCCTGATTTATTGCTCATGAGAGGCAAGGAGTTTAGTGACTCTGTACATAATACCTTTGACCATATGTAGAGAACCAAGCAACAAAATGAAGCTGTTTATTTGCTCCTAAGTTCAGTGGACAAAGTGATGAAAGAAAATGATGAACTCAGGGATTCTGTCTCCCAGCTTCAGAAGCAGATATTGAGCCTCGAATCTGCTAAGACTGCCCTGAATGAGAGGCTTATCTCCTGCAGAGAAAGAGCTGAAATTGTGGAGAAACAGTCACGAGCTTTTATCATGTGAGTGGCTGACCTGCTAAAGGTCTCTACTAAAAAAACTACAAAAAGTTAGCCTGACATGGTGGAATGTGCCTGTAATCCCAGCTACTCAGGAGGCTGAGGCAGGAGAATTGCTTGAACCTGGGAGGCGGAGGTTGCAGTGAGCCGAGATAGTGCCATTGCAATGCAGGCTAGGCAACAGAGACAGACTCTAAAAAAAAAAACAAAAACTGCTTGAGTATTCTAATATCTATAAATAGAAATCTAGAGAACAAGTATGGGAATAGATATTAAGGGTGTGAGATAATGGTGGAAGGAACATACAGCTGGATCAGGCTGAATTTATTGATTTGGGCTCACTAAATAGGAACTCTGCGTTCAATGTTGCAGCTTGGGGAGTTAAAAAAAAGTTCTAATAGTTTATTTGTTTGGTTAGCTGAAATGTGTATTAAAAGATGGTCCACTGTGAGTGAGCCAGAAATGCCTGATCTCCCTTGGTTTAATGTAGAAGAAGTTATCCAAAGGTTTAAGGAGATTGGGATGGTGGAGTGGATTAGTCACTTTGCATCTACTCATCCCAGCGGGGAAGGTACAGAAGATATACTCTTGACCAATGCCTTGCAAAATAGATTTGTGAGAGCAGCACCTGCATCTTTGAAGAGCCCTGTAATTGCTCTTCTCTATGCATCAGATCTAATAGTGGGAACTGCAGTCACTCAACTGCAATATTTAAATACAATAGGAATAACTGGATCCTGAGGTGGCAGAAGCCAAGTGTTGGCTCTCAACCGTTAAAGGCAAGGTGGGCGTAGCTACCATAGTGGATAGCAGAGGCAAAGTGGGAATCAGAATACTCTGACTCATGTAGAGCTCTTGCATTGGCTAACTAATCGCAGTGTTCCTAGAAGTGAAATTGATAGGAAGCCTACTCCATCTCTACTTAATTTATACAAGGAGAAAACTTCTAGGTCGAATGGACAAAGGAGAATCACAACTCCTCAATCAATTTCTAGACTTGAGCCAGGTTTACAGACCCAGAACCCCTTGAATGAAGGGGAGGCCTGGTTCCCTTGAGGAAGGACCCCACTACATTACTGACAATTTATGCAGTGAATATTTCTCCCATCCTTCCCCAAAGAGACCTCCAGCCTTTTACCAGGATAACTGTGCACTGGGGAAAGGGAAATGATCAGAATTTTCAGGGACTACTGGTCACTGACTTTATTCTTAAAGTATTAAAATTAATAATGAAGTGAAGTATAATTCCAAAATTTTTCCAAAAGTAAAAAGCAAAGGTGATCAAAAAGCAACAATGCTAACACAAAATTATGAGTGATTAACCACAGCCAGACACTGCTACCACTCCTAGGCTGAAGAGCAAATAAAAGAGTGGTACGAACAATATTGTATTCCTCTCAAGTTCATGTGTTAAAGCCCTAACTTCTAGTACCTCAGAATGTGACTGTTTGGATGTAGAGCCTTTAAAGGGGTGGTTAAATTAAAATGAGGCCATTAAGGTAGCCCCTAATCAAATCTGACTTGGGTCCTTAGAAGAAAATGAAAGTTGGACACATAAAAAGATACTGAGAAATGCTTGTATACACAGAGAAAGGACCATGTGAAGCCATAGCACTAAAGTGGCCATCTGCATACCAAGAATAGACTCTTTAAGCAGATAGACTGACACCTTAATCATAGGCTTCTAGCAGAAAATAATGCTAGAATAATGCTAAAATTCTGCTAAGTTACTCCATCTGTGGTATTTTGTTAACTTCTTTTACTCTTCTAGTAAAAGAAGAGGCCAGTTTGCCTGACAGGTGGGCCAGTCAAGCAAGAGGTGGAGCCATGAGGAAATGTAGCTGCTGTGAGCTACAATGCAATGCAGAGAAGGTGATGTCTCTCTTCTCATCTCTCATTCTCTGAGTTGTCTTTGCCAATCATAATGGTAAAAACTACATTTTCCAATTCAGTAGCTCCACACCAAGTTTCAGAGACTTTGTTAGTTTGCTCTGGCTAAAATTGGGCTCACCACCTAATTATGTTTACAATAATGACACCATTCCTCAAAATTCTCAGGCTTAGAATTTGGTTTAAAGTGTTCTCTCCTTTTCATTGCTTTTCAGATAGATTGAATTTTAGGGTTCGTCTCTTCTTCTTTCTAAGGTAATTCAGAAATTTGTGTCTTGGTTTGAAAATAATAATATATGGTATTTTTTATATGCATTTTTCTTTTGGAGTTCACTGATAAGAGAATTTGCTAAACTTTTCTCAAAGACTATGTGTGAAAATGTTCCCTGGAAACACAAAAAATGAATATTCTCTTTATATTCTCCATTTAAATAATGAATACAAAAATTTCTATATATTAGTGCCATCAATAACTTAATTTTATTTTGAATATACAATTAGTAACTGGAATATTAAATAGTCTACTTATTAAAATAATATGCACTAAATTTTTGCTTTCCAAGTTTTATTTCTCTTTACTCTGAATTTTTCATAGTTTTGACTTTGTATATTTCATTGATATTTTGGGGTGCGCATGTAAGTATGTGGATCAATCTAGTATCTCTAATTCATTAATTAAGCTTCTAATCAATATATAGTGTGCATATTTATCTTATTTAATAATCTTACCATTAACTTGCCCATATCTGATATTAACAGTGCCATTTAATATTTGTTTTTATGTGGTTGTCTATTGTGCATCTTTGCACTTGGTTTTTGTCATTTCAAGCACCATGTAACTCTTTATTCTCCCTAATTCAGTAGGATAATCTCTGATAATCAATGACCCACTTACATTTAATTTAATAGTATACATATTAGATTTACTTTTAATCATACTTTAATTATCTTGTTTAATTTTTCTCCCAAAATTCTTTACTTTGGCCAGTGTGAACCATATTACTATTCATTGTTGTCTTTCCCACAAGTTAATTTAGTGGTTTCCCTGTACAAATCTATTTTTTCACTGCTTTCCTCCTAGAGATAAGTGTATAAGAGTTAAGTATTAAACTAATGTGACTTTTGTACTCTCCACCCACTCTGGTGTCACCTTGAAATATATCACTCCTCACCTTCCGCCTGTCTGGCTCTGAGGTTTGGCAGTTTCTATTATTCTTGTTAAGGTATATAAAGTAATGACAACACTCACAATCACTTTTGCACTAAACTAAATATTATGTCTATTTTGTTTCAAGGATCCTGTTCAGCATAAATATTACAATCTGAGGCACTCCATTAATAAGATTTAATTTAGATTGCAACAGATAGATAGACTAGATAGATAGATAGATACATAGATAGATAGATAGATAGAGATATATGCAAAAAGGTTGATTGCTCACCACAATCTTTCTTTCTTCATCTTCCTCTATTTCAAGTTTTAGCCTGGGTTAATGCATTATTTTGATTAATGCATTATTTCGATGTCTTTTTACTAATTGTTTTTTGGTATAGGGCATGAGTGATATAATCTCTGAATTCTTGAACTTGGCAAATATCTATTATCGTGACTGATGAATGATATATTTTTAGTTGCATATATGGACACTGAGTTTCAGGTGTATTTGTATTATTATGTAGATGCTATTCTATAGTCTTCCAGCTTCCAGTCCTGCAGCTAGGAAACCTAATATCAGTTTCATTATTTCTACTTCTACAAATCAATTACGTTATCTAATTGGAGGCTTGCAATATTTTCTGTTGACCCCCCAAAATTAATTTTTTTTACTAATATCTGCTTATAGGAGTGCTTGTTTGTGTACATTTTTTTTAATCTTGCCTTGAATTTGGGTAAACAAACTGTAAAATTTCATATCAATAAGTTTTATTTATAGCTTCTAACATATTTGTCTCTCCTTAATTTTATCATTTTAAAAGATGCTTCATGACTATTTTAAATTTTTTTCCACATTGATAGTCACTATTTGTACTCTAATTCTTTTACCTCTTTGTTCATTGCTTTATTTCTCAAATTTTGGTCTAAGTTTTATGATATTTCTAACATGTGGTCTTTCAGTTAAGAATTTAGTTATCCAACAGTGACTATTCTTTCTTTTTATCGCCTGATTGTTTGCAAGACAAAAAGTATAAGTCTTACACAATTTTATTGTGCTATAAAAACATCTCCCTGACATTTAATCTTATTTGAGCCCTGTAATACTAATAAAAAGTGGAAGTTAAGAAATTGCACACACACCTCACTATTCACTCGCTCCCCTCCTCCCACCTTCACCCTATCCCCACACAGCCTTTCTTTCTTGTTCTGGGAAACAACATACTGCAAAGAAGCTCCCTTCCCCATATTAACTTAGATAAAACTTTGGATGCCACCGTGTGCACTTATGACGAGACCAGACATACACCTTTCATATTTCCATTTTTTGCCTCATAAATAATTAGCTGATGATTCAGAATAAAATTTCTATTGACCAAACTTTGGTTAAGATTATTTCCTTCCTTCAGGGTTCTTGAATTTTCACTCACTCTCAGCCTTAACTAGCATTCAATCCCTCTTTACCAGTCTCTCCTGAGAGTAGGCTGGCCTCCAGGTAAAACATTCTCTGATCTACTGTCCAGTCATGATTCTTTCGTTTATCCCACATGCCCATAGCTCATTCTTTTTTACCTTGTTCACTTGTCTTTATGAAGAAAAAATTCTTTTTCTTCTATCCCTTGGGTTATTTGCATATTTTATATTCAGATTATTCTTCTGGTCACAATAGCCAAACAGGGGAGATGCTGTTACAGTAGTGCTTTTTCCCCCACTTGCAATAATCTTTGCAAATAAAATCTTTCCATACTAGTTTTGGATTTGATTTTTATTTGACATCCCTAAAAGGAATCTTTTGCTCTTTCTCTCTCCATTTCTCTCTCTCCCTTTTCTCTCTGTCTCCCCATTGTTCAAATTGCCACCTGTTTCTTCCTGTAACCCTACTTTACTGCTAGTTCTTTTTTTGTTTATTTTCTGTCTGCTGGAACATATTAAGTACATTGTCAGAGTATTTTAAGTACCTCTTGGAATTTGGCTTCAGTTATTCACTGAAGTTGTTCCTAAGAGTGGTGGAAATTAAATCTTCCTCTGTGTGTGCCAGAGCTAAACCAGCTTAAAACTTGTCGGTTCCTTTGTCCAGGCACTAAGCAGTGTTTTTCCTTATAATGTTAGCCGCAAAATTAGAGCATTCCCAGCTTTAGGGTAAGAGAATCTTCAGCCTATCTGATTTACTATTTTTCAACTCCTTGGGGAACAAAGAGAATGCCACCCTTCTTACCCATACTTCATAGATCTGCTCAAGGCAGAGAGTCTCCAGAATCTTTGTTTATGAATGCATATCCTGAGACATTCCACCTGTGGTATTTCAGCAATCATTTGCTCTAAGGGAAAAACATCTTATAACTTTTCTCTTTTCACTAGACCACAATTTTTACCCTAACTCGTAGACCATAAAAAGCTGTTTAATCATAGAGACGTTACTAGTTGGTATTGAATTGGGAAGCAAAATCAGTAGCAATGCTCTGTATTGCCATTTTACTAGGATTTCACAGTTACTTTCTCTACTGTTAATAGATTTTCTGGTTTTATATCAATACCATTGGATCTCAATGTTCCCAAAGATACAGCAATTTTTCCACTGAGTTAAGGAAAGAAAGAGCTCGAATATGATCTCAGAAAGAATATTAAAGACAAGTGGGAACACTGCTGGTATAAAAAAGAAGGGGCAGAAGATTCAACATTATTTTTAATGCTGAGCAGTTATCCAAGATGATAAACTTGGGCATTTGCTATATATAGCCAGGGTTAAAATGAGCAACTCTTCAGTTATGGAGACAATTGACACAGTGATATCACTGCCTTAAGTAAGCAAAACGAACTTTGCCCAGACATGTAACACTAAAAATGCTATTGCTAATGTTTATGGAGAATGTCAGAATAAATTTAGCACATTACATCACTTCTACTGAGAATTTGTAGGAGAAATTGCTTATATGTACTTGTGATTGCACATCAAAAATATTTTAAGTGAATATATCTTATACAACAAAACTAATCAAATAATTTAACACTACCAAATATATCAGACTACGGAGCATCAAATAGGTATGAAGATGAATTTATAGGGTTTTGATTTCTGATTCTGTTAAGCCTCATAACTGAGTAAAAATACAAAATGTACAAATTTTGACATACCAAATAGAAATACCAACTAAAAATTGTGGTGGTCTCAACAGAATTCACAAGAAAAATGGAGAGTTTAGGGAAGAGCAGACTATGAAATTATCTTTTTTTTAATCAACTTTTAAAAATAGCAAAGGAATAATAAGACCTTCAATCAGTAGACAGAATAATCAATAAACATGGCGAAAAAGATAAAGGGGAAGAAAGTACAACTGATGTTGAAATATAAATTAGTACTATCAACCACCCCCTAGGCAATAAAACTAGTATATCAGGAATTTGAAAAATAAACACAATCTAACTCTCTGTCAAAGGTATGGTAAATTTGGGTAGATTACTAGGGGAAATAAACAATTTGTTTCCCTGATGAGATACTTTGGCACAAATATTGATGATTTTTCTTTTGATAGTTACATATTCCTAACCAGTGTAAAAGAGGTGATGAGCCCGTTCCAAGATGGCTGAATAGGAACAGCTCCGGTTTGTAGCTCCCAGCATGATCGATGCAGAAGATGGGTGATTTCTACATTTCTAACTGAGGTACCTGGTTAATTTCATTGGGACTGGTTGTACAGTGGGTACAGCCCACGGAGGGCGAGCCAAAGCAGGGCAGGGTGTCGCCTCACCCAGGAAGCCCAAGGGATTGGAGTATTTCCCTTTCCTAGACAAGGGAAGCCATGACAGACTGTACCTGGAAAAACCGTATGCTTCTGCCCAAATACTATGCTTTTCCCACAGTCTTAGCAACTGGAAGACCAGGAGGTTTTCTCCTGTGCCTGGCTCAGTGGGTCCCACACCCATGGAGCCTTGCTCACTGCTAGGGCAGCAGTCTGAGATCAACCTGTGAGACTGCAGCCTGGCGGGGGGAGGGGTGTCCACCATTGCTGAGGCTTGAGTAGGCAAACAAAGCACCTGGAACCTCAAACTGGGCAGAGCCCACTGCAGCTCAGCAAGGCCTACTGCCTCTACAGACCACCTCTGTGGGCAGGGCATAGCTGAAAAAAAGGCAACAGAAACTTCTGCAGACTTAAACATCCCTGTTTGACAGCTCTGAAGAGAGCAGTGTTTCTCCCGCATGGTGTTTGAGTTCTGAGACCGGACAGACTGCCTCCTCAAGTGGGTCCCTGACCACCATGTAGCCTAACTGGGAGACACCTCCCAGTAGGGGCCAACAGACACCTCATACAGATGGGTGCCCCTCTGGGACAAAGCTTCCAGAGGAAGGATCAGGAAACAATATTTGCTCTTCTGCAATATTTGCTGTTCTGCAGCCTCTGCTGGTGATATCCAAGCAAACAGGGTGTGGAGTGGACCTCCAGCTCACTCCAATAGACCTCCAGCTGAGGGCTCTGACTGTTAGAAGGAAAACTAACAAACAGAAAGGAATAGCATCAATATCAACAAAAAGGACATCTACACCAAAACCCCATTTGTAGGTCACCAACATCAAAGACCAAAGGTAGATAAAACCACAAAGATTGGGAGCAACCAGAGGAGAAAAGCTAAAAATTCTAAAAAACAGAGCACCTCTTCACTTCCAAAGGCTCACAGCTCCTCGCCAGCAATGGAACAAAGCTGGACAGAGAATGACTTTGACAAGTTCACAGAAGTAGCCTTCAGAAGGTCAGTAATAACAAACTTCTCCGAGCTAAAGGAGCAAGTTCAAACTTAAAGCAAGGAAGCTAAAAACCTTGAAAAAAAGGTTAGATGAATGGCTAACTGGAATAAATAGTGTAGAGAAGACCTTAAATGACCTGATGGAGCTGAAAACCATGCCATGAGAAGTTTGTGATGCATGCACAAGCTTGAATAGCCAATTCGATCAAGTGGAAGAAAGGGTATCAGTGATTGAAGATCAAATGAATGAAATAAAGTGAGAAGACAAGGTTAGAGAAAAAAGAGTAAAAAGAAATGAATAAAGCCTCCAAGAAATATGGGACTATGTGAAAAGACCAAATCTACATTTGATTGGTGTACATGAAAGTGACAGGGAGAATGTAATCAAGTTGGAAAACACTCTTCAGGATATTATCCAGGAGAGCTTCTCCAACCTAGCAAGGCAGGCCAAAATTCAAATTCAGGAAATACAGAGAACACCATAAAAATACTCCTCAAGAAGAGCAACCCCAAGACAAACATAATCATCAGATTAACCAAGGTTGAAATGAAGGAAAAAATGTTAAGGGCAGCCAGAGAGAAAGGTTGGGTTACCCAAAAAGGGAAGCCCATCAGACTAACAGCAGATCTCTCAGCAGAAGCCCTACAAGCCAGAAGAGAGTGGGGGCCAATATTCAACATTCTTAAAGGAAAGAATTTTCAACCCAGGATCTCATGTCCAGCCAAACTAAACTTCATAAGTGAAGGAGAAATAAAATCCTGTACAGACAAATGCTGAGAGATTTTTGTCACCACCAGGCCTGCCTTACAAGAGCTCCTGAAGGAAGCGCTAAACATGGAAAGGAACAACCAGTACCAGCCACTGCAAAAATATGCCAAATTGTAAAGACCATTGATGCTATGAAGAAACTGCATCAATTAATGGGCAAAATAACCAGCTAACACCATAATGACAGGATCAAATTCACGCATAACAATATTAACCTTAAATGTAAAAGGGCTAAATGCCCCATTTAAAAGATGCAGACTGGCAGATTGGATATGGAGTCAAGACCCATCAGTGTGCTGTATTCAGGAGACCCATCTCACGTGCAGAGGCACACACAGGCTCAAAATAAAGGGATGGAGGAATATCTACCGAGCAAATGGAAAGCAATAAAAAAGCAGGGGTTGCAATCCTAGTCTCTGATGAAACAGACTTTAAACCAACAGAGATCAAAAGAGACAAAGAAGGCCATTACATAATGGTAAAGGGATCCATTCAACAAGAAGAGCTAACTATCCTAAATATATATGCACCCAATACAGGAGCACTCAGGTTCATAAAACAAGTCCTTAGAGACCTACAAAGAGACTTAGACTCCCACACAATAAAAACGGGAGACTTTAACACCCCACTGTCAATATTAGACAGATCAACGAGACAA
Organism: Homo sapiens; assembly: GCF_000001405.40. Taxonomy (NCBI): domain Eukaryota; kingdom Metazoa; phylum Chordata; class Mammalia; order Primates; family Hominidae; genus Homo; species Homo sapiens. The sequence goes on along the minus strand of NC_000004.12, from coordinate 115,450,250 downwards.
AAGGTTAACAAGGATATCCAGGACTTAAGCTCAGTTCTGCACCAAGCAGATCTAATAGAAATCTGCAGAACTCTCCACCCCAAATCAATGGGATATACATTCTTCTCAGCACCACATCACACTTATTCTAAAATTGATCACATAATTGTAAGTAAAGCACTCCTCAGCAAATGTAAAAGAACAGAAATCACAACAAACTGTCTCTCAGACCACAGTGCAGTCAAATTAGAACTCAAATTAAGAAACCCACTCAAAACTGCACAACTACATGGAAATTGAACAACCTGCTCCTGAATGAGTACTGGGTAAATAACGAAATGAAAGCAGAAATAGAGATGTTCTTTGAAACCAATGAGAACAAAAACACAACATACCAGGGATACAAATGAAGGCAGAAATAAAGATATTCTTTGAAACCAATGAGAACAAAGACACAATATACCAGAATCTCTGGGACACATTTAAAGCATTGTGTAGAGGGAAATTTATAGCACTAAATGCCCACAAGAGAAAGCAGGAAGTTCTAAAACCCTAACATCACAATTAAAAGAACTAGAGAGGCAAGAGCAAACAAATTCAAAATAGCAGAAGGCAAGAAATAACTAAGATCAGAGCAGAACTGAAGGAGATAGAGATAAAAAAAAAAAAAAAAACTTCAAAAAAATCAATGAATCTAGGAGCCGGTTTTTTGAAAAGATCAACAATATTGATAGACCGCTAGTCAGACTAATAAACAAGAATACAGAGGGGAATCAAATAGATGCAATAAAAAATGATAAAGGGGCTATCATTGCCAATCCCACAGAAATACAAACTAACATCAGAAAATACTAGAAATACCTCTATGCAAATAAACTAGAAAATCTAGAAGAAATGGATAAATTCCTGGACACATACACCCTCCCAAGACTAAACCAGGAAGAAGTTGAATCTCTGAATAGACCAATAACAGGCTCTGAAATTGAGGCAATAATTCACAGCTTACCAACCAAAAAAAAGTCCCGGACCAGAGGGATTCACAGCTGAATTCTACCAGAGGTACAAAGAGGAGCTGGTAACATTCCTTTTGAAACTATTCCAATCAACTGAAAAAGAGGGAATCCTCCCTAACTGATTTTATGAGGCCAGCATCATCCTGATACCAAAGCCTGGCAGAGACACAACAAAAAGAATTTTAGAACAATATCCCTGATGAACATTGATGCAAAAATCCTCAATAAAATACTGGCAAACCGAATCCAGCAGCACATCAAAAAGCTTATCCACCATGATCAAGTGGGCTTCATCCCTGGGATGAAAGGCTGGTTCAATATATGCAAATCAATAAATGTAATCCAGCATATAAACAGAACCAAAGACAAAAACCACATGATTATCTCAATAGATGCAGAAAAGGCCTTTGATAAAATTCAACAGCCCTTCATGATAAAAACTCTCAATAAACTAGGTATTGATGGAACATACCTCAATAAGAGCTATTTATGACAAACACACAGCCAATATCATACTGAATAGGCAAAAACTGGAAGCATTCCCTTGGAAAACCAGAACAAGACAAGGATGCCCTCTCTCACCATTCCTATTCAACACAGCGTTGGAAGTTCTGGCCAGGGCAATCAGGCAAGAGAAAGAAATAAAGGGTATTCAATTAGGAAAAGAGGAAGTCATATTGTCCCTGTTTACAGATGACATGATTGTATGTTTAGAAAACCCCATTGTCTCAGCCCAAAATCTCCTTAAGCTGATGAGCAACTTCAGCAAAGTCTTAGGATACAAAATCAATATGCAAAAATCACAAGCATTCCTATACAACAATAACAGACAGAGTGCCAAATCATGAGTGAACTCACATTCCCAATTGCTTCAAAGAGAATAAAATACCTAGGAATTCAACTTACAAGGGATGTGAAGGAGCTCTTTAAGGAGAACTGCAAACCACTGTTCAACAAAATAAAAAAGGACACAAACGGAAGAACATTCCATGCTCATGGATAGGAAGAATCAATATTGTGAAAATGGCTATACTGCCCAAGGTAATCTATAGATTCAATGCCATGCCCATCAAGCTACCAATGACTTTCTTCACAGAATTGGAAAAAACTACTTTAAAGTTCATATGGAGCCAAAAAAGAGCCCATATTGCCAAGACAATCTTAAGCAAAAAGAACAGAGCTGGAGACACCACGCTACCTGACTTCAAACTATACTACATGGCTATAGTAACAAAAACAGCATGATTCTGTACCAAAACAAATGTACAGACCAATGGAACAGAACAGAGGCCTCAGAAATAACAGCACACATATGCAACCATCTGATCTTTGACAAACCTGACAAAAACAAGACACGGGGAAAGGATTCCCTATTTAATAGATGGTGCTGGGAAAACTGGCTAGCCATATGTAGAAAACCGAAACTGGATCCCTTTTTTACACCTTATACAAAAATTAATTCAAGATGGATTAAAGACTTAAATGTTAGACCTAAAACCATAAAAACTCTAGAAGAAAACCTAGGCAATACCATTCAGTACATAGGCATGGGCAAGGACTTCTTCATGATGAAAACACCAAAAGCAATGGCAACAAAAACCAAATTAGACAAATGGGATCTAATTAAACTAAAGAGCTTCTGCACAGCAAAACAAACTACCATCAGAGTGAACAGGCAACCTAAAGAATGGGAGAATTTTGGCAATCTATCCATCTGACTAAGGGCTAATATCCAAAATCTACAAAGAACTTAAACAAATTTACAAGAAAAAAACAACCCTATCGAAAAGTGGGCAAAGGATATGAACAGACACTTCTCAAAAGAAGACATTTATGCAGCCCACAGACACATGAAAAAATGCTCATCATCACTGGTCACCAGAGAAAAGCAAATCATAACCACAATGAGATACCATCTCATGCCAGTTAGAATGGCAATCATTAAAAAGTCAGGAAACAACAGATGCTGGAGAGGAGGTGGAGAAATAGGAATGCTTTTACACTATTGATGAGAGTGTAAATTATTTCAACCTTTGTGGATGACAGTGTGGCGATTCCTCAAGGATCTAGAACTAGAAATATCATGTGATCCAGCCATCCCATTACTGGGTATATACCCAAAGGATTATAAATCATGCTACTATAAAGACACATGCATACATATGTTTATTGTGGCACTATTCACAATAGCAAAGACTTGGAACCAACCCAAATGTCCATCATTGAAAGACTGGATTAAGAAAATGTGGCACATATACACCACGGAATACTATGCAGCCATAAAAAAGAATGAGTTCATGTCCTTTGCAGGGACATGGATGAAGCTGGAAACCATCATTCTCAGCAAACTGTCACAAGGACAGAAAACCAAACACCACATGTTCTCACTCATAGATGGGAATTGAACAATGAGAACACTTGGACACAGGGTGGAGAATATCACACACCTGAGGCCTGTCAGGTGGTGGGGGGCTGGGGGAGGGATAGCATTAGGAGAAATACCTAATGTAAATGACAAGTTGGTGGGTTCATCAAATCAACATGGCACATGTATACCTATGTAACAAAACTGCACGTTGTGCACATGTAACCTAGATCTTAAAGTATAAAACAAAATAAAAAAAAAGAGGTGATGAAATCTTGATGCAATGTTGCTAAGAAATATTGTCAATACTCTTTCTGCCACTGACTTAATCAAATATTTTCTATACTGTGACTATATTGAATTTAATTTAATAGAAATATTATATGCTGCATATTTTGGGATGATAAAACTACTGACTATATCTGTTAAGATGTTAAAGCAGCAGTTCTTCAATAAAAATGTTTAGTTTAATATCTTCATCCATATTGATAACTATAATAACATTAAGTGAAAATATTATTGTTCATGATCCAGAAGGCTTGTACTTCGAGTTCCATGCTGTGACCATATGAAATTGTCTTTCTTCAGGAGAAAATGACTGCGTTTTTGAGTTGGAAGGAGAGTGAACTGAATATTTGAAGACTCGAGGTAAGTTGACATTGGTTTTCAGAGTTGTTCATAAGTATTTTACTTCTCATTTTTTTTTCAAGAAACATGTAAGCTTTTAATATCCAATTGCCTTTTATTTGGATATGGTCATATATAGTTAGTCCTGGCCAAATATAATTAGAAAAATTCATATGTTTGACACGTAAAATAAGGGGAAATAATATATGTGTCTTCTCTCAAGGAAAATTTTAAAAACTAGTAAATACATGGTTTCTCATGCTTCCCCTCCCTCTAACACTGCCACATGCAGTATTAGAGATCTTGACTCCTCCATCAACCTGGATCCAAGATTCAAGATAATATGAATTAGAGGCCTTAGCAACCTCTTACTGGACATGCTATAGACATGTGTAATAATATCTTATCTTCATAAGCCACTAAGATTTTTGAGCTGCTTTACCAAAAATATCTATTATACACTGATTGATAAAATAATTATTATTGTCCAACAATTGGCATTGCCTAAATATACTAATTAAAATCAAGCTTATTGGGAGGCTGAGGTGGGTGGATCACAAGGTCAGGAGTTTGAGACCAGCCTGTCCAATATGATGAAACCCCTTCTCTACTAAAAAGCACAAAAATTAGCCAGGTGTGGTGGTGTATGTGTGTAGTCCCAGCCATTCGGGGGGCTGAGGCAGGAGAATCACTTAAACCCAGGAGGCAGAGGGTGCAGTGAGCGGAGATCACATCACTGCACTCCAATCTGGGCGACAGAGCGAGGCTCTATCTCAAAAAAAAAAAAAAAGAAAAATCAAGCTTAAGAGAAACAGGTGACCATAAAGAAAAAATATAGAGTTAAGTAATAAAGTACAAACTATAAAATAAGGTTTGCTAAATGATTATATATGATATATTTTACATGCATATGTTCATATTAATGTATGTATGAATGGTTGTGATGTAAATACATGAATGGATATATACCAAGGTATTAATAGTGATTATGTATATGAAATGAGATAATTAATTTTAGTTATTGCTCTGTTAGCTTCTAGTGTATCACCTAAAGTGTCTCAATAAGTGACGATCAGAAAAAAACACAACCTTACACAAATACTTTTCCTATTAAGCATTCAATTTTTATATTCAAATTAAAACTTTTATTTTCCTTTTTAGGTTTTTAGATATTTGGTTTAGCTCAATATATAGAAAAATTGTAGTGTACTTTTATGTATACTTTCCAAAATTATTTAAAATGTTATTGATTTTGCTATTTCATTGCTTTGATAAAGAAATATATCACTAAGGACTGTGCAAGTATTATAAATGGACAAATACATTTTTAATAGATAACATATAGTGTTAGAAAAATGTCTTGGGTTCTACTAAAAATAGGTTTTATTTATATAACTTTACTGAAGAAAAAATTAAACTTTTGTGGCAATCCTATACTCTTATTAAAATAAGTTTGATTGGGATAAAACTGTATTATGGAGATCAAAATAAATGATTTTTTGTCATATTTTAAGAAAATGCCTGTAAAGAACAAGAGTGATGCTGGATTAATGTATGCACTCATGCAAGAATTGCTTCAAATCTTGAAACAATTTATAGAGGGGTGTAATAAGGAAAGGAATAACTTTAGGCATTCTTAGGACTACTGAGGATGTTTTCCAGTTCTGGTCAAAATAGTAAACTAGTACAATTTGCTGGATCTGCTCCAAAAGTGATGAAAAAATTATGAAAGAAAGGAGCAAATATGAATCACAGAAACTAACAAACCTAATATGAAAGACTCTCAGAGAAAGTAAAGGCTTCCTTGAAGTGGAATATGTATTGGCTAGTTATAGAAAGTAAAAAGTTTCCTCTTCAAAGTTTCCCTTCTTAAAGAATAAATCGTAAATGTTAGAAATAATAGTTTCTTTTAAAGACTAACTTTCTTCAAGCCTCCTTGCTTTGTGCTAATAACTCTTTGCTAAGCCCTATTCTATGTAGCTGTTGAACATGCTCACAGGCATGTTCCAGCTCACAGCCTACGTCCCTTCCTTATTTAGAAATGTTATTACTTCTTTAAATCTATCGTAAGCAACTTCCTCTTTTCCTTTGTTCTCCCTTACCTTTACCTACTTAAAAAGGTTTTAGGTTGTTAGCAAATCGGGTGTCAGTTTAGACTGTGAGGTTTGGCTCCAACCAATGGATGCAGGACACAGCATTAAGGACAACCCAAATGCGTAAGGGATAAATATGTCTGCTTTTTCTTTGTTCGGTATACTCTTGTGGCAAGACTGGTGCCAAGTGAACTCTTTCTGCAGAAAGTAAAAATTGCCTTGCTGAGAGAATTAAATTTATGTTCAAGTGCTATTTCTTTGCGGCACCAGAGAACAAGCATTTTGCATTTCTTACATAGTGGTTGTAACTTGAAGCCAGGGGCAGAGAAAGGGCAGGTCGAAAGAAATGTGTAAATGTCTGCCCTTGGCTTTTCTTCACATTGTCGTTAAAAATATTGATTGTCTTTTAGCCAATAGTTGGAGTAAAATCAAAGCAGCCTAAAGGCCCTATTGGAGTCTTCAGTTCAGATCATCTGGTTCTTTCACTTATCCAATTCTTCCTTGTCCAAACTCCTGAACCTGGTGGATTACAACCTAAAAGGTCCATTACCTTTTACCACTATTTACAAAAGGGTTTAAGAAATATTGAGGAGAGAAAAGTATTCTTCACTGCCTCTCTTTCTAAACGAAAGGTGGTAGTTACAGCATTTTCAGCATCGGGATGTAGACATACCCAATGAAACACAAATGAAGAGAAGAAAGTGTTTCTCAGACCTAGAGAAAGATGAAAATTGGCAAATTCAAAAGATTCATTGCATGACAAGTAGGCAAGATAGAAAAAATTCCAAACCTAAGCCACATAACAGTTTATTTATAAATATGACGCATATAAAGAAAATTCTCAAAGCTTTTGAGAAACAGAGAACATCATCTTTAAAAGAAAAACACTATTATCAGATGGATATAAGATCTTTAGACAACAACCGTGGATGCCAGTATATATTTAAATTACAGAAAAAGTACTATGGAGTAATCATTTGAAAGCATTAAAATAAAAATATTTTAGAATATAAACTAGCCATTAAGAACATGAAGGTGACCCGAATAAATGCAAATATAGTCCATGTACTTAGATAAACTATATCCATGAAACAACCTAAATATCAATATAAACTCTACCAACATTGCAGCTATTTGTTTAAAAAACTTGATCAATTTACTCCAAAATTTATATAGAGAAGCAAACATCCACTAACAGGTGAGCTAACCTGCTAACCAGAAAAATAAATTTTATAAAGAGGGGTCATCCAACTAAGGTTTTAAAAAGAAAAAGTAAAAAAAAAAAAAGATGAATATGATTACATCAAAATTAAGGATTCATATCAGTGAAAGATATCATTGAAGAATCTAATAGATAGTGATATATTAAAAGAATATATTTGCAATGTCCAAAAGAGACAAGAAAATGATACCAAGAATATGCATGGAATTCTTATAAATCAGCAAGAAGAGATAGGAAATTTAAAAATAAAGAAAAATTCATAAGATGATAAATGCTTAAGACTAGAATAAATATGAAGAGAAATTCAAATGTCTGAGATAGCGAAATGAAAGATGAAGAATATGAATATGGTAATTGTCAATATTTTGATTCCCTTTGCACCAGGTCCTAAAGCAAGATCTCGTTGCAGGTAGTTGTGGGAAGTAATCACAATAGTGAGAGGGAAGTACAGGTGAGCCATGAAAGGGAGACAGTCCGATTAAGTATGTCTAAATGAGCAGGTGACTGCTATGGGAGACTGGTGCTTGATCCTATTAACAGTTCTGAGGAAGCACATAGAATGTGCTTATGCCGAGGTTACACCAAAGTTACACCAAGGAATTGAGAAGTGTGGAACATATCCGCTAACTTCTGTTTTTCATGCGTTGTGAACTCCCCTGTGGACACCAAATTCCTGGCACATGCAGCCTTCACTGAATGTGGGTTGAGCAGATTCCAGTGGCTAAATCCTTCAGTCAGAGGAACATAGGAAGCAGGCACTGGAACTGAGAAGCTATCAGCATGTATGGCTGCTGGTAAACTCAGAGATGAGCATAGAGGGCAAGACATTTACCACATCTGCTACAGTCTACCTCTTGCACTCTTGAAATTCACTCATGGCCCACAATGAGCCTACTGTGTCACTCTTCAGGCTGGTAGCCAATCATTGTTGGGTAAGCAGATTGTTTTAACAATATGAAATCTGGGCACCTTGAAAAAAGAACAGGATAACAGCAATTGTTCAGGGAATAAGAGAGATAACCATAACCTCTGACCACTGGTGAGCCGGGCGTAACAGAACCAGATTTCTCTTCTTTCAAAAGCAAATGGGAGAAATATCACTGAATTCTTTTTCTCAGCAAGGAACATCCCTGGGAAAGAGAATACGTGCCAGGGGGTGGGTCTATAGACAGCCCCCCTGGGCGTGGCCATCTTCTATGGTTGAGGCTGTAGGGGTGAAATAGACCCCAGTCTCCCATAGCGCTCCCAGGCTTATTAGGAAGAGGAAATTCCTGCCTAATAAATTTTGGTCAGACCGGTTGCTCTCAAAACCCTGTCTCCTGATAAGATGTTATCAATGACAATGGTGCCCAAAACTTCATTAGCAATTTTAATTTTGCCCTGGTCCTGTGGTCCTGTGATCTCGCCCTGCCTCCATTTGCCTTGTGATATTCTATTACCTTGTGAAGTACTTGATGTCTGTGACCCACAACCTATTCGTATACTCCCTACCCTTTTGAAAGTCCCTAATAAAAAACTTGCTGGTTATGTGGCTTGTGGGGCATCATGGAACCTACCAACATGCAATGTCTCCCCCGGACGCCCAGCTTTAAAATTTCTCTCTTTTGTACTCTGTCCCTTTATTTCTCAAACTGGCCAACGCTTAGGGAAAATAGAAAAGAACCCATGTGACTATCGGGGCAGGTTCCCTGATAACCAATGATTGGAGAAATGCAAATCAAAACCACAATTTGCCGAGATTTATTTTAACAGTCAAAATTGAAATTACTAGAATCTAAAAAAAATAAAAAAAAAAAGATGGTGTCCCAGCTGCAGAGAAAAGGGACCACTTAATACACTGGTGGGAATGCAAATTAGTTCAGCCACTGTATAAATCAGTTTGAAGCTTTGTCAAAGAATTTGAAACAAAGCCATTATTCAACCCAGCAATCCCATTACTGGGTATAGACCCAAAGGAAAATAAATAGATTTACCAAAACGACACATGTACTCATATGTTTATTACAGCACTGTTCATAAAAGCAAAGACATCAACCTACATACTCATCAGTGGTGGACTGGATAAAGTAAAGGTGGTACATATACACCATTGGATTCTATACAGCCATAAAGAAGAACAAAATCATGTCCTTAGTAGCAACACAGATACATAAGAAGGCCATTATCCTAAGTGAATTAACACAAGAACAGAAAACCAAATACCACATGTTCTCACTCAGGAGTGGGAGCTAAACACTGAATAAACATGGACAAAAAGATGGGAACAACAAACACTGGGGACTACTGGGGGGGTGAGGGAGGGAGAGAGAAGGAGGATATGGGCTAAAAAATTACTTATTGGGTGTATGTTCACTACATTTGTGATGAGACCATTGGTATTTCAAACCTCAGCATCACACAATATACCCATGTAACAAACCTGCATATATACCCTTTGAATTAAAAAAAAAGGAGATTCTTTCTTTAAAAAATGGTTCAAGAATTAATCCCAAGCGTTTAAATTTCTTAAGCTTTCCCTTGATGTTGCCAATTCTGCTGGTAATCAGACCAAGGAACTAGCACACTTTATTTTTTAACCATTTTTCAGGTTCATAAACTGAATTGATGCTTCAGGAACTGAACATTTTTCAATACAATTCCCACAAGATACAACTGAATTTTAGTGAAACTGAATACATGTTGATCAATCATAATGCTGAGGACCTTTTTCTTGACTAGAACATATTAATAATCCAAGGCCTGAAAAAATTTAATGAGTGAAAAGTGCAAGAAAAAACAACAACTGTGCAAAAATATACGCATGACAATTATTTTACTTTTTTCTTAAATGTAAGGAAACATCTTTTACGTTGGAATTACAGATTTTACTTAGGCTTTTCTATTTCATTCCCGATTGAAGTTGATAAGAGTACGTCATAAGCATCTATCTTTATATGCCTTTGTGTTTATGAATGAAACTTGTTTCAGTTCTTGACTCAATGATATATATTTTAAATAATTTTCAGTGAATTGATCAAACCCGTCTAGTTTAAACATGTTAATATTATTCCAAGTTGTATAGAGTTAAAAGTTTTTCTGGGGTCATTATTTTTAAATAGCTCAATGATTATTATATAAATATCTCTCTGCAACACTTTTGGCTGAATGGAATATACTGAGTATGTAGGTGGCTTAGTTTCCTAGCTTATGTACAAAGGATTGCAAACTCGGTGACTTAAAACAACAGAAATTTATTCCTTCACAGTTCTAGAAGTCTGAAATCTAGCACCTAGCAGAGCATCTCTGTAAAGTTTATATGGGAGTCGTTACTTGTTTATTTTAGCTTCTGTTTATTGCCGGAAATCACTGGTGTTCCTTGGCTTATAGATGCATCACTCTAGCGTGTGTGTGTGTGTGTGTGTGTGTGTGTGTGTGTGTGTGTGTGTGACTTCTTATAGGGATACCATTCATATTGGATTTAAGGTTTACCCTAATTCAGTATGACTTCCTACATAATTACAGCTGCAAAGACCCTCTTTTCATATTAGCTCACATTTATAAGCAGTGGGGTTTAACACTTCAACATATCTTTTGTGGAGAAATAATTAAACCTACAATGGTAGGCATAATTCAAAATGAAATAGAGAATTTTAAAAAGTGGAGAAAAAAAGAAATTATGAGCAATAGCAAAATGGTATAGATTTACTTGTGCCTGAAATGTTGAGAAAGGTATTTAGGCTGAAACAAAAACCTTAAAATATTTATTACATGGAGAATTCTTCATGTTTTAAAATTATATAGCTTGGTAAAAACACAAGAATTTGAGAAGGATGAATTAAATATATATCTTTTGCATAACACAAGATGTACTTATTCAGAAACTGTCACAGTTCCCCTGGACAGGATACACTACTCTTAAACATTTTTTTCCTTCATATTGAAACTAGATCTAGGAATCCAAAGATTTTTTGAAGCAGTACATTCATGAATTAAGTAGGCTAATAAATACATACTATATATTATTTATGTATTTTATTAATATAAATATATAAAGGCTATTTTGCAGCCTGGTTAAATTTATTTTATAATTTAGACTCAGTTGATTCTGAATGAATTCCTATCAAAATAAATAAAACGTATTTTATTGTGTTCGTTTTATTAAGGTTATCGTCAGTTAATTATTCTCAGAACTAGCCTACACTTTTTGAAGAAACAAGGTTCTATGTGATTTGTGATAAATATACTTCAAGAATAATCTGTTTGTAGAAATTCATTATATTTACATGATGGTTATAAATATGTAATAACATAATCTTATGTCATAAAATCAAATGCTCAAATTAATTTATTATATGCCATATTATAAATTATAAATACTAACTTTTCTATTATAGCTTTTATGAGAATTTTAATATCTTGAATTATCTAAGAATTATGACATATAACTCCCGAAGCACATTATTTTAAAGTTTTTATCAAAAAATTTCAAGTTTGCATTGTTTTTTCCAAAGACTGCAGATTAATCACCCAGGATGTATTTTTTAATGTGCATTGCTTTAGGTTGTACATAAATCTTGTAACAAAGTAAATCTCTGTAATTCGAAGAACCAAAGCTACTTTTACTTCAGCATCTGTTTTCCCCTACAGCCCTGTTGTTGCTGATTACTCTCTCAGTTTCAATTTGAAATAAAAAAATAAGATTCCCAAGTTTAAAATCAACGTGACTGTGGTGAACTCTTCCTATAGGAAAACATGATTTCAATAAACTTCTGGATGTTGCTGTTTATTCCAAGAAATGTATTCTTAAATATTAGAAATAAGGACACATGGAATACTTTTTTATTATGTCAGAATGTATTTAGAGCGTATATTCCCAGTGGATAGCTTAGGAGTAATAACAAATATCATGATTGCATGTAAAAATTGTATTACTGAGAAATATGAGATCTAGATTCTAGTCTTGTTTCCTTTGCATGACAGAGGAGTAAATGTGGGTAGCAAGACCAGTGACCAGTGACGGGTCTGAGGTTTTACACTACCTGCAAGCTAACAATGTGGTTGCATAGGTTAATGGATACTGGCAGAAAATATAAAATTATTTGCTCTAACAATGACTTTTACTCACAAAACACCAGGTAGTATGAGTTGCATGTTTGTATTGGTTTCCACTTGATCCCAATCACACGAGGGCAATGTGGACATCACAGCTCTGTATCCCCAAGCTTAGGAAACCCCAATTGTTATAGATGAGCTGGTGGTAAACCTGCCAGTCTGTGCCCATCACGGAGAGATCTTTGTTGACTTGATCAGAAAAGAAATCTAGCCTCTGTTTGGAGGAAGACACTATCCAGTACACTACTAAAATCGCTGCTATACAGAAATTTTGAGAAGATAGTCCAGAAAGAAAGTCTTTCCTGAGAAGAACAGAAGAAACATAAGGGATCCATTGAGGATTTTCTTCTAACATTAACAACTCTATGTTTTTATGCCTACTTGGCTTCAGATGAATTTTTTCATGAGCACTTCACTCATCTCCTCTGATTAATCTGTTCAATAGGAGCTGAAACCTAATCTGATCATTTTTTTTTCTTGTACTGCATTGAATAAGGTTGTTATCAACAGGACTCCAAGCAAAAGGATGAGCTCGATCTGCAGTATTGACTTCAGCCATGCCCTCCAGGTCCTGGCTGAGAAAACTCGCTAAACCATCAATATCTACCATACAAAGCCACGTTACTTACTGACATTTCCATTTGTCCTGAGGCATTAATCTAGGTACAGCAAGATTGCACACATTCCATAACCACTCTAGCCAGTGAGTTAAAGTTGAACCAAATGCCTTCCAAGACTGAGGTGATATTTCTTTAAATACTTGAAGGTAACGTATGACCTGCCCAAGATTCAAGTCACTGTGTCAAGTCGAGAGGCAAATTAATGGCTAATTTACATACAGAAAATAGAGTCCCAAAAGTGCACATAGTGCCCCTGGAAAGAAAGCAATATTTACACTTGTTGGGGCTTTCCAGATAGGACCTGCATTAATAGGGAGGCAAAGGTGAAATACTCCCTATGTGGTCACCCAACAGGCTGATTGGAGTTAGAGTTCCCAGTTCATTTAGAATAATTGAGTCTAGTCCTTTTATAGAGAAATACCTGAGATCAGTCAGTACCACCTGTCCTGTTTGTTCATGCCACCAGCCAGGTTGCATTCATCCACCCAAAGGAATGATGGAGAATAGAAAACAATTATAGCTGCTTTAAACTGGGACCATTTCTGCAGTTTCTGATTGTCTTCCAGGTAAGCTTAAGAGGAATGACAATCAAATCATGGTCAGAGTTGTATGTTAGGGATGGCATACCTAGCAGCCAAGTAAGTACGGTTGACTTTGGAATGACACAAAAATTAGGAACACTGACCCTCCACATAGTCAAATATCCAT